>NC_000003.12:80010000-80313030 GCF_000001405.40 Homo sapiens | reverse complement strand
AGGATGCAAAGGAGTCACAGATTTGGTCTCTTTTCATCTCCAATATTTCTCTAAGGTTGTGTTCTTTCTTTTTGTTATTTTTTCATAATTTTTGTATGACTCCTTTATTTCAGAAAGCAGGTCTTTGAGCTCTGAGATTCTTATCTCAGCTTGGTTGATTCTACTGTTAATACTTAGGATTGTACTCTGAAATTCTTTAAGTGAGTTTTTCAGCTTTATCAGCTGAGTTTGGTTCTTTCTTAAGATGCCTATATTGTATTTCATTTCCTGTATCATTTTATTGTGTTCCTTATAATCCTAGTGTAACGCCAAAGGTTCTTGCGTTAGCCATGCCAAAGATTTGGTGTGGCAGCAGCCCGCGGTGAGAGACAGAGATCAGACTGAGAGAAAAAAAGCTGTAGGCTTTGTTGAGTAGAGTGACAGTACACAGCTTCCACAGCATGGAAGGGGTCCCGAGCAGGTAGTCAGTGTTAGATTTTTTGATCACCTTTTAAACTCTTTAAGGCGAGAAATATGTGTGGGGGGAAGATGCTACCAGAGCGAGAAACAAAGACAATTAACATGTCTCAGATCTTGAGGAAAACCGGAATTGTAACTTCAGTTTTGTCTACTTTATAACCTTGTAGCGGCATGGCAAAGGAGACAGGATCTCACAGGATTTTACAAATTGTGTTTATAAGGAATCAGAATTGGGAGCATAGATAAGGTCTGCTGGTCACAGAAAAATGGACTTTTAACATTCCTTTTAGTTTTAGGGGAGGGGGAAGGGAGAGAAAGAGTGAGGACACAGGGATTCTTACAGCAAAAGTTTTGCTGTTTATAGCTTTCTTGGGGAAGAAAACACATGCACAAATCCTGGTGTTAGGAATATTTTAAGCATATATATTCAATATTATTCATCCAGGACCAAAGTAAGTCCTGATGTAAGAAATGAGTGAGTTTCACAACTTTCTGAGCCCCTACTCAACCCAGGAAGCCCAGCTGGAACCTCCTCTCAGTTCCCCCTCTAGATTGGACACCCCAACTCCTGTTGGGACCTGGGCGGCTGTCGTTCTGGCTACTTTCTGCTGATTAGGGGCGAAGAAGGGGCCCTGCAGTTGTGGTGTCCTCCAGAGGGGAACTTTTTAGCCTAGTGAGGGACCAGCGGGTCGATCCAGGGGTCCTCGGTAGAAGCCGTGAGTTGAGCTCATTTGAGATTCCATTTGTAAGACCTCTTGTAGCTTGATGGTCTCGAACCTGGAGGAAACAAATTTGACAAGGAGGTTAAAAATGCAAGGCCCAAAAGCAAGTAATAATAGGATTGCTCTCGCAGGGCCTACAAAGGAGAGGAGCCAAGGTATCCATTAGTTAAACATATTCCCGGGCCCTGAGTGTTCAAGCTCCTTTTTTTTACCTTTTATTTATTTGTTTATTTTTGTCTTTTTAGTAATGATTTCTGACTGGTTAACGAAATAGCAACATTCTTCTTCTAAGAAGAGGCAGGTTCCTCCTCTTTCAGCTGTTAATAATTCTAGGGGTCTTTGGTTTTGAAGGACTACTGTAGCTAGAGAATTAAGCTGGCTTTGTAGGGTCACTAGGGAGTCGGCAACTGATTCCATGTCATCATTTAATTCTCATGATAATTTATAATAGAACTGGGTGGAGGAAGTTGTGCCTCCAATTCCAATCCCAAGCCCGTCGAGTATTCCGGCTCCTACAGTAAAAGGGACAATAAGGGCTCACATGTGGCGAGATTGGGGTATAAGGAGACTTTGCAACTCTTCTTCAGTATATATGGACATGGGAGGTGCTAGAAAGGAAAGAAAGCATTGTTCTTTCAGAGTGCCATTTAGGCATGGATAGGCTGTGTTATCACAGATGAAAAAAATGCCTGAAGTTGGACAGGTGAAACCTGAGGTCTTGCATTAGTCTCCACTGAACATTTGTTTTTTGTATTCCTAGGATTGGGGTGTTGTAAGGACTGCTACATTTTTTTTTAGTAAACCTTGAGCTTTTAAATATTTAACAATATTCTGTAATCCTTTGAGAGTTTCAGGCCTTAAGGGATATTGCCTTTGATAAGGAAAAGTGGTGGGGTCTTTTAGCCTGATTTGGAGTGGATGGGCATTCTTTGCCCTTCCAAATTGTCCTTTTAAGGCCCAGACTTCAAAGTTGATTCCTTTTTCAAGTAGGGGCCAACAAATGGGTAATTTGTTCTCCATATTCATGTAGATAATGGCCCCAGCTTTGTCTAATACGTCCTTCCCTAATAAGGGTGTGGGACTTTCGGGCATCACAAGAAAGGCACGTGAAAAGAGCACAGTCTCCCAATTGCAGCTCAGGAAGCGAGAGAAATACCTGGTTACAGGCTGTCGTAAGATTCCTCGGATAGTAACAGACTTTGAGGACAATTGCTCAGGGCAGGAGACTAAAACTGAGAAGGCCACGCCAGTATCCAGGAGGAAGTCCACTTCCTAGCCCTCAACAGTCAAACTTACCCTGGGCTCTGTGAGGGTGATGGCATGAGCTGGCGCTTGCCCTGGGCACCCTCGGTCCTGTTGCTGAATTATCTGGTTGGGTGCTTCTGGCCTAGAGGGCCTTCGTCCTCTGAGGCAGTGCACCTTCCAGTGATTGCCTTGGCATATTGGACATGGGCAAGGGGGTAGTTTGTTTTTTGTTGGACAGTCTTTTTTCAAGTGTCCTTGTAAACTTGACTGATAACAAGCCCTACTAGGCAATTGGCCTGCTCCTCTCTTGGTTCCCTCTGAGCCACCAAGGTCTGCCTCTCTGAGGGCCATGACTAAGGCTGCAGCCTTTCTCTTATCTTGCTTTTCCCTTTTGGCCTGTTCCTCTTGGTCCCTGTTATAGAATACCGAGGTTGCCAGCTTTAATAATGTGTCCAAATTTTGTTCTGGGCCTAACGCAGACTTTTGGAGTTTTCTCCTAATGTCAGCTGCTGATTAGGTGATAAATTTATCCTTTAAAATAAGTTGGCCTTCTACGGAATCTGGAGTTAGGGATGTGTGCTTTCTTAGGGCCTTCCTTAGCCTTTCTAGAAAAGTGGAGGGGTTTTCCTCTTTTCCCTGTGTAATTGTGGATAGTATTGAGTAATTCATAGGCTTTTTCCTAGTCTTCCTCAACCCTTCTAAAATGCAAGTTAGCAAATGCCTGTGGCTCCAGTTTCCATGATCTGAGTCAGAATCCCAGTGAGGGTCTACAGTGGGGACTGCCTGTTGCCTGTGGAGAATTTTTCCCTTTCCTTCCAGGGTCATTCCATCATTTACCTCGCTAAGGTACCACAGATCCCCAAATTGCTGGACAGCTGCTAAAGCTGATTCTTTTTCACTAGGACTTAAGGTCTGACCAAGAAGCAACATGGTATCTCTCCATGTTAGATCAAAGGACTGCCCCAATCCTTGCAGGACATCTGTATAGTTATCAGGATCATCCGAGAATTCCCCTAAATCTGCCTTTATTTGTTTTAAATCTGAGAGTGAGAAGGGGGCATGCACGTGAGTGGGCCCAAATTCTCCTCCTACTGCTTGTAAGGGACATAGTTTGGGTGCCTGGCTCATGGAGCTTACATTCTCTTTCCAGTGTGCCTTTAACACTTCAGTGGGGCCGGATGGAGGAGAGTCAGTGGGGGTGGAGAGTGGGGCTGCTGGAAGAGGCCCTGAGTATGGAGGCAATTGTGGGCCTCTGTCATTTGGTCAAAGCTTGCAGGCTTGGCACAGGGCAGTATTGTCACAAAGGGAAAGAAAGCCATACATAAGGGACTTCACTCCATTTACCTTCCTGTTTACAGAAACGATCTAGTTGTAGAAGGGTGTTATAATTAATACTTCCCTCAGGGGGCCAAGTTTCTCCATTTTGTAAGGAATACTGTGGCCAGGCACTGGTACAGAAGAAAAGCAGCCCCTTCTTTTTTAAGGTTTCAGAGTTGAATTTGTCCCAGTTATTCAGGATACATCTTAAGGGACTGTCCGGTTTTGAAGTTGTGGTCCCCTCTGGACTTTTAAACAAACAGATGTCCGCACTCCTGGTTATTCCTGGGACTCATTGTCCCTTAGGGCGTCCCCCAAGGGTCAGGTCCAGTTGTGCTCAAAGCTCACGGCTGCTTTTTCTGAGCCCTCCATCTACCTGATTTAACCGTGCTTACCGCTGGGATGGAAAGTTCCCTTGCTCCTGCCATGCGCCCATTGACCACTAAATGGGGCACAAGGACTGTTGGATTTATTTTGGTCCTTCTGCCAATGCGTCCTACCTGTTCCAGGGTGGCAAGTCCTGGGTCTGGTGCACCACTGATGTTTGGATGCTAAGGCCCCATTTACATGGGCCTGGCCATAAAATTGTCCTTCAAGGAGGAATCTCTGAATTAGCGGCAGAAGGCTTAATAAGCTTAAAGGGGGTGATGGATGTCCTCTAGGCCAGGGTAGACAGAACAGCTGCTGTACTGTAGCCTTCTGTTCCCACTTGCCATCAAAAGAGTAAGCCCCTCTCTTAAGGTGGTATCAGTATCCTCTGTCCCAACTGACTATATTTTCTTCCTTCCAATAACAAACATTGAATGGTTCAAATAGCAATTCAACAGCTCTACGAGCTGTACCCATGCACCACAGATTGTACTTGAGAGGCCCCAAGGAAGGGGAAAGTCTGTCTGGGGAGCAATGGAGGAAATGCCCTAAGGCTTCTACTGTCCACATGAAAATTACAGACCTGGCTTTAAATTGTCCTGATGTAGGGGACCACACACTATGGTGGGGAAACTGGCCCTTCAAAATAGCCATCGAGTGGTGACACCTGCCTAAACCCTGGAGGGCACCATGAACAGGGATCTTCTGGGCACCACCCCAAGAATTTAAGACTTCTAACCAGGGAATCTTGATCCTGCCTAGCGGGAATAACCTCGCTTGCGACATGAGGAAAGAAGTCTAGCCGGTGGACATTAGGACCCAGGAGGCAGGAGTCAGAAGATGTGGCGGTCTCACGCTCAGTAACCCCTGCAGGGGGAGCCTCTGGCAGGGCCATGGTCTCTACCAGGAAATCTGGGAGACTAGAATGGCCGCTAACTCCCGGGTGTACTTTGGGACCACCATGGAAAGTGAAAGAGTAGGAACTGGGTCCAGACTAACCAACATTCCCAGCCCCAGAGGGTCAGGGGGTTGTTAGAGAGCCCTTTTCCAGACAGCCTGACAGCCATGTCTTTAGTCCTGTGATGACACTAATCACCTTTAAGTAGCTGACAGGTGCCTGGTTTAGCTTTGGAATTCTAAGGAAGGACAGGACAGAATAGCAAGCGAAAGAGGTCCAGTCGTACTCACCACGTGATGGTCCAGATGCCTTTCCTGGAGATCCTCCTGGCAGGCTTGCCAAAATGTAACGCCAAAGGTTCTTGCCTTAGCCATGCCAAAGATTTGGTGGGGTGGCAGCCCGCAGTGAGAGAGAGACACGGATCAGACTGAGAGAAAAAAAGAAAAACTGTAGGCTTCATTGAGTAGAGTGACAGTACAAAGCTTCCACAATGTGGAAGAGATCCTGAGCAGGTAGCCAGTGTTAGATTTTTTTGATCACCTTTTAAACTCTTTAAGGCGGGAAATACGTGCGGTGGGAAGATGTTACCAGAGTGAGAAACAAAGACAATTAACATGTCTCAGATCTTGAGGAAAACTGGAATTGAACTTAAGTTTTATCTACTTTATAACCTTGTAGTGGCATGGCAAAGGAGACAGGATCTCACAGGATTTTACGAAGAGTGTTTACAAGGAATCGGAATTGGGGGCATAGATGAGGTCTGCTGGTCACAGAAAAATGGGCGTTTAACATTCCTTTTAGTTTTAGGGGAGGGGAAGGGAGAGAGGGAGCGAGGACACAGGGAAGCTTACAGCAGAAGTTTGTTTATCACTTTCTTGGGGAAAAAAAACACATGCACAAATTCTGATGTTAGGAATATTTTAAACATATATCTTTAATATTATTCATCTAGGACCAAAGTAAGTCCTGATGCAGGAAATGAGTGAGTTTCACAGCTTTCTGAGCCCCTACTCGACTCGAAGCCCAGCTGGAACCTTCTCTCACTAGGATTGGATTCTGACTCTCTCCTGAATGTTGATCATCTTCATTCCTATCTGTAATCCGAATTCTACTTCTATCATTTCAGCCATTTCAGTCTGGCTAAGTGCCATTTCTGTGGGATTAATGTGGTTGTTTGGAGGTAAGAAAATACCCTTCTATACTCCTCAATCTACAGGATATAAGTGGCAGCTTATTCAATTTAACCTAACCCCAACCTTTAACTAGTTGTTCTATGTATAAAGCAGGTATGAATGTTAAAATATAATTTAATTAATGCTATGAATATATATATATATATTTATACTGACTCACAGTTATGGTGGGGTTAATTACAAAAAGTAAACTACAATTTGGAAACATGAGGCTGGTGTACAGATGAAGAAAAAAGTGTTAAAGTGGGCACATAAAGCTCATCCACATATATATTCAAATATAGTAAAAAATCTATAGGTAAGTATACAAAGGCAGAGTCAACTCACTGATGCTCTTTGTGGTCATAGAAGATGGTCACATTTAGTAGGGTCATGCCAGTGATAAATTTAGAAGTTGAAGAAGTTATCAATAATGGAAGAATTGTTAATAGAAAGAGAGATGTAGAAGAGAGAAATAGTATTTACAACAGTGGGAAAAACTACAGAGCAAAACCTGAAATGAATTGAATACAAGAAACAGCCATCAGTTGGGGTTCAGAGAAGAGGCATAATCTCATATTTTAGACGAGTCAGTGTGTCAGGGTGTCTATAGTAAAATGTTTATCATGGAGGGTTCTGAAAACCCTTTTGGTTACACAGTAGAGGTTCAATTATGAAAAAAGAAAATGGGAAAAAAAAGAAACTAACTGGGGAAAAATTTCCAGGTTACTAAGATTTGTATGGTAACATTAACGTTATAGACGAGATGATACAAATACAGACTGATGGGAAATGGCAATATTTGTTGAATAATTTGATGTGAATAATAATGATAAAAGAGACACTATGATAAGAATGACTTAAATCTTTGCTTTGATCAATTGGGTAGACAATGTTACATATAAATTAAGATGAGAAAGACTGGACAACCCAGTTGTTTATGAAAGAGTATTTCAAAGTAAGAACTCTATTTTGATTATATTAAATATGGGATGTCATATTAAAAGTTAGATACCCAGTAGTTTATCATATGAGATTCAAGCTCAAGGGAGCTATTGAGACTAGAAAAGTACATGGAATAATTTTGGAGGTGGTATGTAAAGTCAGGGGCTTGAGTAAAATCAACAGTGAGTAAAGAGAATAAAGAAATAAGGTAAATAAAGAAAGGTTGATAGTAGCCATGATTTCAAGCAAACACTGGGGAACATGGAATGTATTCAAGGAGGGATTACTATATTTTACTTTATAGAAGAGAAAAATGAACTACAAAGATTAATAGGGAGAACCATGAAAGTGTAATGTCACTAAAACTATAAAAAATGACAAGAAGCAGAGAAAACAATTAGATTCAATGAAATGAAAATGTTAGCTATATGGTGATATGGTCACATTAATAGGAGGGCTTATATTAATAGTCCAAATTTTAAGTCTGTGAGCTAGAGTAGGCTCAAGCTACAATTTTATGTAATTATGAGGAGTAACAAGGAGTTATATACAGATAGCAGAAGAAAGTACTGTGACTAACCTAAATATATAGCATAATTTTAAAAGAGTGAAGTACATTAAGAAATAAGAAAAACAAATGTTTGGATAGCAGATATAGAAAATCTGAAGGATATTTATTGAAGCAAGTAGGAATGATTAAAAAAGAAACTTCAATTGATTAGTATATCGATTAGGGAGAAATCTCCAAGGATTAGTAAATTCGATAGGGTGAAAGAAGTATTCAATGAGGAGATTTTAAAAAACGTAGTAAATGCACATGTACAGTTGCAGTGAAAGGACTTAAGAAGACAGGCAAAAGAAGGACTGCATAAGATTGAGATGTGTAAATGAATATGAGAATAAAAGACTCAAAGATAATGGCTGAGGTTACCTATGGTGACAGAGGAAAATACATGTCAGGTAGGATATAATTACAACTCATATTTTGATAATGGCACATTTGCCAATAGTTCAAACAAGTCTTAATTATATTATATCTTCATTACATATTAACTTTTCTCTTATAGCATATTATTTCTTCATTGTAGATTAACTTTCCTCTCACTTCTTTGACACAAAGCCATCATGACTATCACAGTATCTAAGATGGAATGTTAAATATAGTCTTTTAAATTGGAAGAAAAAAACCCAGCTACAACTAATCAAATTGCTGCAACTCATAAAACAACCTTGCATAAATAATGCTGTAATCCTGTTAAATTTCCTTGTTTTCTGTCCGTACAGGCAAGGCCCTTATCTTTCCAGCTTTGAAGCACTAACTCCATTTCTTTGAAGTCTGTGTTACCTAAATGACCATTTTCATCTTTGCACTTAAATAAACACTTTTCAAATAGATTTTTATCCTGTTATTTCAGCTTGACAGTAATTTAAAAACTTAACTAACTTAAAAACACGTGTTAGAAGATCTAGGTGATTCATACATAACTAATCTGTTAGCCCAAACAAATACCTCCACTTAAAAAAAAATTAGTATTTAGCCTCATGAAATTCACAATACGTAAGAAACCAATTAAAACTCATTAGATATGTAAAAATGTAAAATATAACCCACAAAACAGTAGAACAAATAATAGAGTTTTTAAAAAATCTACAATTATAAAATAGGCCAACAAGGACTTTATAATAAATGCTGTGTCATCTCACTTACATTGGAAACCTTTAAAAAAATTTAAAAAATTTGAACTCATAGCAACAAAGAGTATAATGGTGATTACCAGGGATGAGGATATGGGAGCAAAAGGGAGACATTGGACAAAGGATAGAAACCTTTAGTTATAAGATGAGTAAGTATTGGAAATCTAATGCAGTGCGTGGTGATTATAAGTAATAATAATGTATTTTACACTTGATAATTGCTAAGAGAGAAGATCTCAAGAAGATCTCATCACACACAAAAATATGTAACTATGTGAGGTGACGTATAAATTAATTGGCTTAATTATGGTAATCATTTTACAGTTTAGAAATATATCAAAATATCATGTACATTTTATATATATGCAACTTTTATCAATAATATAATAAAAATTGATAAAAAACAAAAAGACAACAAAACAAAACAGAAGAAAAAACATAAAAAACTGTGACAAGTACAAAAAGTTCTCAAGGATTACAGGAAAACATGAACATAAGAAGGCGAGAGATGGATGGTAAGAATTGGGATCAAGTAAAAATTTAGCAATGAAACAATATCTGAAATACAAATTGCACTTAATCAGATTAATAGCAGATAAAAAACTTCACAATAATAGATGAGTGAACTGGAATTCATGATAGGAAATGATTTAAAAAAAAAGAAAGGAAGAAACAGAGAGATAATGGTTAAAAAATAAATGAATTGACCGGGTGCAGTAGCTCATGCCTGTAATCCTAACACTTTGGGAGGTCGAGGCGGGCGAATCACCTGAGGTCAGGAGTTTGAGACCAGCCTGGCCAGCATATCGAAACCCTGACTCTACTAAAAATACAAAAATTTGTGGGGCATGTTGGTGCATGGCTGTAATCCCAGCTACTCGAGAGGCTCAGGCAGGAGAATCACTTGAACCCAGGAGGCAGAAGTTGCAGTGAGCCAAGATTGCATCATTGCACTCCAGCCTGGGGGACAGAGCAAGACTCTGTCTCAAAAATATAAATAAATAAATAAAAATAAAAATAAAAGAAAAAATACATAAACAGAGTCTCAGAATCCTAAGGGACAATACAAAGAGACCTAAGGCTTTTTGTTTTATAATCAAGTCCTATAAATAGAAGAGTAAAAGGGGAGACTAAAAATAAGTCTGAATTAATAATCATAAATGTTTTCAAATTATATTAAAATATAAACACACAGATATTAACAGCTTAGTAAACCTCAAATAGGATGAAAATTAAGAAAATTTTACCAGGGGATATAATAAGTTGCCAAAAATCAGGGAAGGTTACAAATCTTAAGAGAAGCAAGAAAAAAAAAGCATATTACAGAGAGAATGACAGAATACAGATAACTGCAGACTTACCTTAGAAAATGCAAGCCAGAAGAAATTAGAAAGATCTTTAAAGTATTGGGGGCAAGGAGATTATCAACCCATCATTCTATATCCTACAAAAATATATTTAGAAAATAATGAAAAGATGTCTGCTTCTGCCTGTGAAATATTTAGTTTTATGTCAACCATGTTCTTGCCATAAGTAACTAGAAAATTGGACAGAATATGTAAGACAACCATTTAGGCATTGGACCAAAGGCTGCACAGCATTACAATCCCTGAGAAAATGGAACCAAATGAAGTTAGCTCTGTAATTGCTCCAGCTAACTCTTCAGAAATTATTGCCAGTCCATACCATAGGGAAGTAGAATTCCAACAGAGTTTAGCAATGCAGTAAATGAAGGAGACAGAGATGGGAGTACAGGAAATTGAATTGGTTAGAACTATCAGGGCATAGAAACAGAGAAAAAGCAGCTGCAGAGAAGAAGAGAGAAAGAGAAAAGCCAGAATGGAAAGATTTATATGGTGGCAATAGTATAAGAGAGAAGATGTTAGAGATATTTACTGATGGAAAACTAGCAATATCTATTGAATAATTTGATATGAATAATAATGAGAAAGGGAAAAAGGAGGGCTCATAAAGCTGTGGTTTGAGGAACTGATTAGATAACGTTATAAATAATATTTGAAATTAAGTATTTTTGAAAAGGAGTGTGTACTAGAAACTGTGTTCAGGTCATATTATCATTGAGATGTCTATTAGACATCTAGGACGTAGGATAGTTTTATAGATTATTGATATGGTTTGGCTCTGTGTCTCCACCCAAATTTCATCTTGAATTGTAATAATCCCAATGTGTCATGGGAGAGACCGAGTACGAAGTAATTGAATCATGGCAGCAGGTTTTTCCCATTCTGTTCTCGTGATAGTGAATAAGTCTCACAAGATCTGATGGTTTTATAAAGGGGAGTTCCCCTGCACATGCCCTTTTGCCTGCTGTCATGTAAGAAGTGCCTTTGCTCCTTCTTCACCTTCTGCCATGATTGTGAGGACTCCCCAGCTATGTGAAACTATGAGTCTATTAATACTCTTTTTCTTTATGAATTATTCAGTCTCAGATATACCTTCATTAACAGTGTGAGAACAGACTAATACAATTGTAACATGATAATTATCAAATATTAAATATTGGAACTTATTAGAGACCCCAGAGATATGAGATGGAAAATAAGGAGCGATAACAAAGATACTATGAAAAAGAATTATAACCTGAATAAAAATGAATTCATTAAAGATATGAAAATCAAAGCCCTCTCATGAATAACAGTAATCTGAAGAGCCTTATATCTCCTAGAAATGGAAATCATAGTGAAACCTTACACAATAGTGTTGGCATCAAATTGCTTCAAAAAGACATTCTACAAAACATTTTAAAAAGAAATAATACCAATTATATCTAAAATAGTCCACCAATTATATCTAAAATAGAAGAGGAGTAAACATTTTCCACTTCCTTTTGAGGCCAGTATTAGCCTAATGTCACAATCAGAAAACAACACTGCAAGAATTGTTTTAACAAAATAAACTCTAAAGACAAATAGCCCTCATGAACACAACTGCAAGATCCAAAAAATTTTAATAAATGAAGTCCAGCAATATACATAACTGATAAGGCATCAGGATCAGGTAAAGATTTTTCCAGCAATACAGGTTTGATTTCATATTTTAAAAATTAATGAGTGTAACTTACTATTTTATCACATTAAAATGGAATAAATTATATGGTTATAAAGTTGAAATTGACATGGAGTTGGAGTTAATGTCGTTTTTTCCACAGCCTTGTCTCTGAAACTTTAAAGTAATTTAAAATTTTCCAATAATTAAGTAAAATTCTATAACCTTAAAGCAGGGTTTTCCTGTTTTGCCCTGGGAAAGAAATGATACATGGTTGGAACCCACCAGAAAACTGTTGAAAATGATCCCCTAACAAAAAATAATGACAACAACAATAAGAAGAATAAACTTAAAACTCCAGTATTCACTTGGACATTGGCCACTTCCTTTATGAAACAGAGTTGGGAGTAATCAGACTCGATAGCATAATCTGAATTGGACACTGTCAAGATCCTGAAGAGCTTTATTCAATAGTAATGTTCAAGTTGTCACAAAGAACACTTGGTTCATAAGGATAATAGTATATTCCTGTAATAGGCATAGATATAGCATTTACTGAGGTCCCAGTGTCTAGCAGAGGAGTGTGGTCCAAAGAAGTGAAATAACAAATCATTTACTACTTTGTAAATTGGCATTACCTAATCCAGAGAAACATACATCACAAGTAGGCTTACTTTCAATGAACCTGGCCGCTGAGAGAGCACCACAGTGTAGGAAAGAGGAAAGTGTAATGAACAATCTTGAACTCATTTCAACAACATCATGCTTCTTGACATACATTTAGAGATTACATATATACATTGCAAAAAAACTGAAGCTTGTTTATTTGAGCCATACTTGCATATTAAGTAATATGAAGTACAATAGGAAACACATCTTTAAAATCCTATTATTATTGCATTTTCTGTTACCAAAGGCTGTCTACCCCTCTTATTTGTGTTTCATGAATAACACTGGCACCTCTCCACTGCACCTTGTAATCTGAAGTGAATCTGAACGCTAAACTCAATGACAGTGCTCATCTAACATTCAGACTCTGCTTCATTCATTATTCTCTCTTGGACTCTCCTCAGCCTCCCGATAGCTAGGATTACCGGCATGCACCACCACACCTGGCCAATTTTTTGTATTTTTAGAAGAGACGAGGTTTCACCACGTTGGCTAAGCTGGTCTCGAAATCCTGACATCAGGTGATCTGCCGGCCTCAGCCTCCCAAAGTGCCGGGATTACAGGCATGAGACATGAAGCTCAGGCTGAGAACTAATGTATTTATTGCTTTTACTGTTAAGTTACCTCATTTTTTAATTCAAAGTTTAAGTTCCTTGCACTGGTTAATTAAAAAGTGACTGCAAGTTTCTCATACATAGATATGTGCAAAAAATGCTGTGTTTGTGTAAGGTACTTAATTTTTATATGTATCTTACATCTGTATGTGTAAGAACACAGTGTGGTAGATTTATTTATTTACAAGCATATTACATTTTTGCTAAAGTAGGATAAAGATATACTTCAGTTTAATATAATAATCTGCATAATTATCAGGGAACATTGCCAAAGACAGTATATAATATTATATCCAATGTATATAATATTGTATCTACTGAATTTTATATAAGGAAAAAACATTTTTGGAATCCATTTGATATGGTTTTGCTCTGTGTCACCACCTAAATGTCACATCAAATTGTAATTCCTAATTTTGGGAGAGGGACCTGGTGGGGGGTGATTAAATCAGAGGGGCGGATGTCCCCCTGCTCTTCTTGTGACAGTGAGTGAGTTCTCATGAGATCTGGTTCTTTAAAAGTTTGTAGCACTTTCACTCTCTCTCTCTCTCTCTCTCTCTCTCTCTCTCTCTCTCTCTCGTTCCTCCATGGTAAGATGTGTCTGCTTCCATTTTGCTTTCGGCTATGATTGTAAGTTTCCTGAGGCCTCCCAGCCATGTTTCCTCTACAGCCTGTGGAACTGTGAGTCAAGTAAACCTCTTTTCTTCATAAATTACCCACTCTCAATTAGCTCTTTATAGCAGTATAAGGATTGACTAATACACCATCTTACTAAAATATAGATGTAAGCAAAAAATATATTTGTGAAGATGTTTGTTGTATTTTATTAATAATGAGTTATTTAGAAACAACAATTTTCATCAAAAAGGGATTAGTTATGTGAATGTTGATATGTTTAAACCACAAAACCCTTACACAGACATCAAAAACAGATGTGTTCGCATAAGAAATATGTGCATCTTCTTAAATTATGGGCAAGAATCAATAAAGGAGGATTGTAGTATGAGTACTTTTTTTTAGTAAATCGATTGAAAATTTCCTTCCACTGATCAACTTTGTTACATTTAAATATTTTGTAGGTGCATGCAAGATTTTTGCAATTCAGTTTTTATAGAATATATATAGTAACACTTAAATATATCCAAAAGGCCTACAAATCTAAACTCTTCAATTTTCCACAATACTTTTGATTTTAATACAATCATTAAGAGAACTGTAGTCTCTATAAAAAGAAATCTCATTTCTCTTAAAAACAACACTAATAATTTGGATTTAACTGTAATAAATAGAGGAGAGTGAAGAAGTATATGAATATCTTACAATATTTTGTACTGCTATAACAGAATGCCTTAGACTGGGTAATTTACAATGAACTGAAATGTATTGGCTCATAGTTCTAGAGCCTGGAAAATCCAATATTGAATTGTTGGCATCTGGCAATAGCCTTCTTACTCATCATCACATAGCAGCAGAGAAGAGGACAAGAGAGGGCAAGAGGAGGCCAAACTCGCCCTCTTTTTAGTGATGCCAAGCCCACCCATGAGGATGAAGTCCTCTGGCCTCAACACCTCTTAAAAGTCCCAACTCTTATTACTGTGACGTGAAAATTAAATTTCAACGCGCATTTCAAACCACAGTAAAGGTAGGTAAAAACACAACTAGGTTTACATCAATTATAAGTGAAAGGAGAGTACTGATTCATCAAATATTTTAAATTTTATACAGTTCGTAGACAGTTAAGTGAAATGTATAGAATAACATACACACACCATAAACATAGATTTTATTTAGGCTTATTTCGCATTATGGCTCTAGGAAGCACAGAAACAAAAAAAATAGTTAGATATGGGTCACTTTCAAAGAGTCAAAGATTCATCTTTTTCATCTTGTTTAATGGACACTGGTCCTTGTTACCATGGTAATGGGAATATGAACATACAGTTTGTACAGTTTGGAATCCAAGAAAGTGTCCATAGCTGCTCTCACAATCTAGATTGGAAATGATGGTGTTTACAGACACTTTTGTTTCCAAGACAACATGATATGCTCTCATGCGACTCTATGGAAACCAGCGAACTTGTAATTGGTGTTCAATCTTCGTGTTAGCCAAACTCTGTTGGGTTCTCAATATAAATGCTAATGGAAGGAAGGTGGGTAGCTTTCTTTCCTTGTGTTTCAAAAGTATACATTCAAACCTCAAATTGCTTTGGCATTCCTTAGATGAAAGTTATATATAAATACAATATTACATTGTTATTTATGACATACACAAAATCTGACTTAATTTTTCATGCCAAAATTATTCCTAAATGTTTATCGGAATAAAGAATCTTTTTCCTCTATACTCTAATCTACTAGTGTTTTCCTGTACAAAGGAGGTTTCTGAAATCAGTCTTTCAAAACATTTGTATGAAGTGCTTTCACAGATTTTATTTATTCTGTATTGGCATAGTAGATATTATAAAACTATCTTTTCTGTCACTCTTATGTTCAGTGATCCTGTTTAGCAAAGTTCAGCCCACATATTAAGTAGATACTGAAAAAACTTCTAAAAAATATTGACTAAGTAAATGGCATTCTAGTTATCTCTGTTATATTATCTCCTTAAGGTTTGCCTTAAAATATTCACAAAGGCATGTACATATTTTACAGAAATCGAAAAATTTTAAATAATAAAAATGAAAAAGCAATATTGAATTTGTGATAATTCTTTACTAAATCTATAAATAATTGACATGATAATGCATAATCAATAGGAAAAACACTATGTGGAGTATTCAGTCCTCATATATTTTCAAAATAGGGTCAAATTTATAGGATTTATACAATTGAAAAGTAGGCAAGCATTGTCCCTATTGAATGTGTCTAAATTTGGGGAACGGCTAGATGCATTTCTTCTTATTTCATGTTTAACTAGTACAAATTAGCAAGCAAGTTTGAGAATACTATCCTAAGAATAAGCTATTAAATTTGTAAAAACAGCATTGTAGGAAGGGTGAATAACCAGTCCCAACATTTACAACGAATACAGTGAATATTCTTTCTCCCAAAATAACTAAGACATATACACAATTCTAACCCAAATAAAAATGGCGGTAGATTATTTTACCCAGAATACTGTGAGTACTGGTGGCCAAAGGCATCTCAAATAATAGGAATTATCACCAAAGAGTTGCTTCTTAGAACAACAGTAAGTTATTGTCATCTCAGCCTCTGCTCAGCAGTAAGAAGACTGATTACTGCTTATTATCCCTCCTGCTGTGGTTTGGATATAAATGTTTGTCCCCACCAAATCCTATGTTGAAATTTGATTCCCAGTGTTGCAGTGTTGACAGGTGAGACCCAGTGGGAAGTGTTTGGGTCATGGAGCAGTTCTTTATGAATGTATTAATGCCCTCCCTCAGAGATTGGGGAGTTCCCACCACTAGTTTCTACAAGAGCTAGTTGTTTAAATGGTCACCTCCTGCCTCTCCCTTGCTTCCTCTCTTGCCATGTGATCTCTGCACAAGCTGGCTACCCTTCTTTTTCTGCCACGAATGGAAGCAGCCTGAGGCTGTCACCAGATGCAAATGCCCATGCTATGCTTCCTAGGCAGCTTCCAGAACCGTGAGGCACATAAACCTCTTTTGTTTATAAATTACCCAACTTCAGGTATTCCTTTGTAGCAACACAGTATCAATATGCACTGAGCCATCTACAAACACTGATATAAAAAATACAGCCAAAAAATTCAGATAATAGTGAAATAATGATTAAAGTTGATCCCTGAACAACACAGGAGTTAGGGCACCAACGCTCCCCTCCTATGTCATGGAATATACAAACAACTTTTGGCTCCCCCAGAAGTTAATTACTAGTATCCCAGTGTTTACTGAAAGCTTTTGATATAATGTAAATGTCAATTAGCACATATTTATAAGTTGTATTTATAGTATGTACCATATTTTAATAATTAGAGCAAAAATGCTATTAAAATAATAAGGATAAGAAATATATATATACTATTCATTAATTAAAAGTTATATATCATACAGATCTTTTTGTCATCATCTTTGCATTGAGTAGGTTGAGGAGGAGACAAAAGAAGAAGAGTTGGTGTTTCTGTGTCAGAGACGACAGAGGAGGAAGAGGTGGAGGAGGGGAAGCGAGAGATACAGGCATACTTGCTCTAAGTTTTCAGAAATATATTTTGATTTGTCTGACTTTTTTGCTTTTTAATTTCTTTAAAATGTTTTTATACAGTACCAATCATTTTTCCAATATTTGCTTTAGATTCAGTGCTTGCATCATAGAAGGGTCCATGTTGTAAAATAAGTCAAAAGTAGCCTTGAATAATTAGAACTTTTCTGGCAGATTCTTTAATGTCAATTGTTTTCTGGAACTGTTTTCACATCTTCTTCCCCATCACCTGACACTAGTGCATATGTGCTCATTTCCAGCAAGTCATCTTCTGTTAATTTCTCTGGTGTGGTGTCTATTAGTTCTTGAATTTCTCCAGTATCTATATCTTGAAACCCTTCAGCTCCCACCTTTTTTTTGCCACATTCAAAATCTCTTTTATGATTTCTTTGATTGGCTTTGGTGTAAATTCAGTGAAGTCATGCACATCATTTGCACACAGTTTTATCCAGCAGGAACTTATTGCGTTAGGCTTGATGGCCTTCTCAGCTTTTTCTGTAACAACAATGGCATCTTTAATGGGTATCTTTCCAAACTTTTATGATGGCATCTTTTAATGGCATCTTTTAACTTTTAATGGCATCTTTCCAAACTTTTATGATGTTCTTTCTATCAGGATTTTCTTCCAGAGTATTGACAATCTTTTCCATAGAGTATCATGTATAATGAACCTTAAAGGCCCTTATGACCCCCTGATCTAGAGGTTGAATTAAAGACACTGTGTTTGGGGGCACATAGTCCACTTTGAAGCCTTCAATGTTTAACTCATGAGGCTCTGGGTGGCCAGGGCATTGTCTAATATCAAAAGAACATGCCTGTATTCATAACTTCTTGGGAGGCTGAGGTGGGGGAGGCGGGTCACTTGAGTAGAGGAGGTGAAGGCTATCGTGAGTCATGACCATGCCACTGCACTCCAGCCTGGGCAACACAGCAAAAGCCTGTATTGAAAAAAATATACTATTTTAATAAACATCAATAAATAAAAGAACTTTAAAAGCAGTCCTTTACTTTCAAAATGCTTTCCGTGATCAGGGGCAAAGCAACAATGGAATCAATCCAGAAAAACGAGTCTCATTGCCTTCTTTTTGTGAAATTAAAAGTCTGGCAGCATTGTTTATCTTTTCCCTTCAAGGCTTGGAGGTTAGCTGCTTATAGATAAGGGCAGTCCTAATCATAAACTCAAAAGACTTCGCACAAAACAGCAGAGTTAGCCTATCCCTTCATGCCTTAAATTCTGATGCTCACGTCTCTTCCTTACTAATAAGTGTCCTTTGTGAAATTATTTTCCAGATATTTTCATTGGCATTCCAAACCTCTTCAGGCAGATATTCTTTCTCCTCAATGAGTTTCTTATTGGCTTCTACAAACTTGTCTGGTGTCTCTTGGTTGGCAGAAGCTACTTCTCCTACTATCTTGACATTTTTAAATCAAAGCACTTTCTAAAATTAACAAACCGTCCTTCGCTGGCACCAAATTCTCCATATCTAGATCCTTCACCTTTCATTTGCTTTAGGTTGTCATACAATGATTTTACTTTTTCCTGATTCATATTAGAATTTATAGGTATGCCTTTCTATTAGCAACCTGGCATCTACATAAAAGCTGCATTTTCAATAGGAGATACAAAGGTATTTCACAAATAGGGAAAGGTTATCTTTCTGTGTATTTTCAGTGATGACATTATACATTTTTTTTCCTTTTTTAACAATGGTCCCTACACTAGTTTCATTTATCTTGAAAGGTGAACAACTATAGCTGCAGACCTCAATCTGTGGTACATACCAAGCAATTCATTTTTGTTTCCTGTAATGTCATGACATTTCTCTGCTTCTTGTGCGCACTTCTAGCATCATTAGTGGCACTTCCTATGGGTCCCATAGTACTATTCAGGGTTTCTAGTATTGCACTAAACATGATTAAAAAATACATGAGAGCCAAGAGAGATCACAATTTATTGTGATGTGTAATTTACAGGGAAGACGAACTGCTCATGTGAAGATGATTAGCATTACATGGTGTTTTAAACAGATACTCACAACACTTGATCCCACCACAATAGCAACAGGAGGTAGCTATGACATTATTACAGTGGTATAGTATGTAACACAGTTAATTTTATGCAGTTGTAATTTAGTACTGCATCTTTACATTTGTTTACACTTCTCTCAGCTGCAAATGATGCCAAGCATCATCTGTAAGTTTTTTTTCATGTAAGTTTTGATAAATTACTTTCTATAATGTATTCCTGTATGTTTTATGGCAATAAAGGACATACCAGAATAATATCTACATATATTTTATGAATTCATGACATATCTAACTTTTTTAAAAAAATCAAAATTTCTAGGCTATGAAGTTCATCTATGAGTTTCTTTAAAATTGTCAAAAATCACCAAAAAAGTTTCAGATATATATGTTGAAAAAAATTGTTTATAAGTGGACCCACACAGTTTAAACTTGTCTTGTTTAAGGGTTAACTGTATTTGCTATGCAAAAACAGTATCCACTTCTAGTTAGCATGCAGTTTTGAATAAAATGATAATTGATTCTATAGAATTGACATGGTTTGGTTCTGTGTCCCGACCCAAATCACATGTTGAATTGTAATCCTCATGTTTCAGGGGAGGGACCTGGTGGGAGGTGATTGGATCATGGGGGGCAGATTTCTCCCATGCTGTTCGCATGATAGTGAGTGAGTTCTCATGAGATTTGATGTTTTTTGTATTTTTAATTTTATTTTTTAATTTTATTATTATTATACTTTAAGTTTTAGGGTACATGTAATGTTTTAAAAATGTGGCACTTCCCTCCTCACTCTCTCCCCTGCCACAATGCAAGATGTGCCTTGCTTCCCCTTCAACTTCTGCCATGATTGTAAGTTTCCTGTAAGCCATGCAGAAATGTGTCAGTTATAACTATTTAGTTTATCAGTTACCCAGTCTCAGATACTTCTTTATAGCAGCATGAAAATAGACTAATACAGAAAATTGGTACCAGCAGGGTGGAGCACTGCTATAAAGATACCTGAAAATGTGGAATTAACTTTGGGTAACGAGCAGAGATTAGAACAGTTTGGAGGGCTCAGAAGTTAGGAAGATGAATAAAAGGTTGGAACTTTCTAGAGACTTGTTGAATGGTTTTGACCAAAATGCTGATAGTGATATGAACAATGAAGTCCGGGCTGAAGTGGTCTCAGATGAAGATGAGGAACTTATTGGGGACTGGAGCAAATGTCACTCTTGTTATGCTTTAGCAAAGAGACTGGTGGCATTGTGTCCCTGCTTTAGGGGTCTGTGGAACTTTGAACTAGATGATTTAAGGTTTCTGTTGGAAGAAATTTCTAAGCAGCAAAGCATTCAAGAAGTAGTCTGGATGTTCCTAACAACATACAGTCATATGCAGTCACAAAGAGATGGTCTGAAGTTGGAACTTACGTTTAAAAGGAAAACAGAGCACAAAAGTTTGAAAAATTTACAGCCTGACCACATAGTTAAAAAGAAAAACCCATTTTTCTGGGAGAGAATTCAAGGTCAAGCTCACTGCAGAAATTTGCCTAAGTAAACAGAAGCTGAATATTAATAGTCAAGATAAAGGGGGAAATGTCTCCAGGGCATTTAAGAGATCTTCACAGTAGCCCCTCTTATCACAAACCCAGAGGCCTAGGAGGGAAAAATGGTTTTATGGGATAGACCTAGCGCCCAGCTGCTCTGTGCAGCCTCAGGACATGACACCCTGTGTCCCAGATGCTCCAGCTTCAGCCATGGCTAAAAGGGAATAAGGTACAGTTTGGGCCATTGCTTCAGAGGGTGCAAGCCCCAAGCCTCAGTGGCTTCCATGTGGTCTTGCGGCTATGGTATGCAGAAGGCAACAGTTTTGGAATCTCTGCCTAGATTTCAGAGGTTTTATGGAATGCCTGAATATCCAGGCAGAAGTCTGTTGTAGGGTCAGAGACCTCATGGAGAACATCTATTAGAGCAGTGCAAGTGGGAAATGTGGGACTGGAGCCCTCACACAGTGTCCCCATTGGGTCACTGCCTAGTGGAGCTGTGAGAAGAGGGCCACCATCCTCCACAGCCCAGAATTCCAGATCCATCGATAGCTTACAGCATGCGCTTGGAAAAGCAGCAGACACTCAATGCCAGCCCATTAAGGAGTTGCCCAAGATGGTGGGAACCCACCCCTTGCATTATCCTGCCCTGGATATGACATGAATTGAAAGGAGATTATTTTGGGACTTTACAATTTAATGACTCCCCTGCTGTGTTTCAGACTTGCATGAGCCCTGTAGCCCCTTTCTTTGTCCAATTTCTCCCTTTTGGAATGGGAGCACATACCCATTGCCTGTACCCTCATCATATCTTGGAAGTAACTAACTTATTTTTGATGTTACAGACTCATAGGTGGAAGGGACTTGGCTTGTCTCAGATAAGACTTTGACTTGAGCTTTGACTTAATTCTGAAATTAGTTAAGACTTCAGGGGACTGTTGGAAAAGGCATAATTGATTTTGCAATCTGAGAAGGATATGAGATTTGAGAGGATCCAAGGGTGGAGTGATATGATTTTGCTCTGTGTCCCTATCCAAATCTCACGTTGAATTGTAATTCCCACATGTCAGCAGAGGGACCTCATGGGAGGTGATTGGATCGTGGGGGTGAATTTTCCCCATGCTATTTGGTGAGTGAGTTCTCATGAGATCTGGTGGTTTAAAAGTGTGACATTTTCCCCCTCACTCTCTCCTTTCTGCCACCATATAAGACATGCCTTGCTCCCCCTTCTCCTTCTGCCATGATTATAAGTTTCCTGAGGCCTCCTCAGCCATGTGGAAATGTGAAGTAATTAAACCTCTTTTCTTTATAAATTACCCAGCCTTGGGTAGTTATTTATAGTGGTGTGAAAGTGGACTAATACAAGAACAAAACTAAAGACTGACTTGACAAGAGTATCTTTACTGTCATCACTATGTCAATAATTTTTACATTTATTTATCTCTCCGGGTTTTCACAACTTTTGTTCAGGGTATGGTAATACTGTACTCTTAAGTCCTTGACTACTCTTTGAATCTATTAATTATTTGTGGGGAATTGCAAAACAACTAAAATATAATTAACTTTTGGCTAAAATGTCATAGGCCAAGAGTCATGTCCTCCTAATTCCCAAGGGGAAGATTAAAAAAAAGGCTTAGAATAGCACTGAGATTAAACCTTTATTTATGTACTAGAAAAATTTCCACTAACAATTGTGAAAATAGAGCAAAGATGAAGAAAAACTCATTACATCGTCTATACTTCTACAGTATAATAAAAACTAGGAAGTTGATGCATTCCTTCCACATTGACTACTCCTAAATCAGAGATGTTCAGTCTATAGCAACCAGAAAACCAGGTAGCCATCCTTCCGTTTAACACATGGGGAGATTTATCTACTTTTTTTTCCTATTTGCTGAGCACAAATGGCAACATAAGTTTGAGGATATATACTTTGATCCAGTTTTTCCTTCTGTAGTGGGCTGGTAAATTCAAAGCCAAGAGACTGCATCAAGTTTCAATATGACTATTCTCAAAGACTCAGAATGTTATTGTAAATTTTTCAAATTCTACTTATATTTCTAATTTTGATTTACATATTTGGAAGCAATATTATTAACTGTTATGACTTTTATGTTATCCCAAAGGATTACATACTTGAAAAATGTGAAATATCCCTTTAGTATTTTCTTTGTCTGTCAAAATGAATAGAAATGGAGGTCTCTCTCTGTATTCCCTTAAACAGATATTTCTCTCTCATTCTAAATAGGAAAATAAAGATATTAGAATGAGATAACGGGTATTATCTCTCCATATATGTATGATTTTGAAGTCTGTGAACTAACAAAATACAAGGAAAAATCGATAGTATACTGTCCTGACAACACTACAAGAAAGACTCTCAGGATTTACTTTCAGGAAGGTATTGGCTCAAAACTAAATGTGTAGCCCAGAATCAATTTTTACCTTAAAAGTACCAAGATGTATTCAAGGATACGCATCTGAAATACATCAAAGGTACTTGCAGCTTTAAATAAAATGATTAAGAAAACATTACTCATTTATATGACTCATTTAAAGTAAGTTTAAATACTTTTCATGTGTAAAATTCTCTTACAACTATGACAATTTTGAAAATATAGGTACTGAAAAACATAGTATCCATATTTAATAGAGTGTAATTTAATGTGTTTGTGGAAAGCAAAACTTGCCTCATGGATTTAATATACAAAAAGAACCCTAGGAAATCCCATGGTTCAACATTTTATCACCTGTGAGAACATCAAGAGCCAAAGATTAATGAAAAGCCCATGTTCAAATAGTCTGTTAATTTAAAAGCTAGAGTGATGTAAACTTCAAAAACTTACTTCATTATTTTCTTGTACAAGCATACTCAGACTTTTATGAAATAAATTATTATTTGTTATGATGGTGAATCTTAAAATACTGTCCTTTTTCTTTGAGTTTAGCAATAAATGATTCTCCGTAGATATTTCTAAGTACCTATGTCAAGATAGCCATCTACACAAAGATCAAAGCAAATAAAAAATCCTACAATTAAAACATAATCTTCTTAGAAGCACTTTGTTGTTACTTTATCTCATTATACACAAAAATCCACAGAAAGAAAGAAAGATCTTTATTTGATATTAAATTGTATGACACAAGAAAAATTCTTGCCAGTTAAAATATGTCTTACAGAAACGAAGTGTATTATACATGCCAAATATCAATGTTGCTACAATCTTTTCTTGTTTTGACCTTTCTGCATCATTACAGTTTGAAATATGGTTGAAAAGTTACTGGAGGGGAACTCAGTTTGTCTGGGGATCAATGTAGATTAATGTCACACAATAAAATATGCAATGTTTTAATTTTTCTGACCTAGTATTTATTTTGGAGAGATTTATTTAAAGCTGTCTTCTTCTTTCCTCACCATTTCTAACGTGTGTTACAGTTTTCAGATAAATTAAAGCTTTTAAATAAAAGCTTTTAAATAAGACAGAATCGCCCAGACATTGAGATTTTTTCAGATCTTGATTGAAATTTGAAGTTCCTGTCCTTAATAGACTATCAGGAGTTTGTGGCTGAGCACCATTCCAAATCTGAAATCTGATGGCAGGCAGGGTATTGACATTGATTGAAATTCTTCTCAGCTGAACATTTAATTCCTTGAGGCATCTGAGGACATCCACTAGGTCAGCTCATTTATCTGTTCTTATTGTAACACAAGTTCTGTTAAGAAATTATATATTTGCCTTTATTTCATCAGTCAGGACATAATGAAACTTACCAGACCATTGAATGAGAGTTAAAGCCCCCTAAAGTTAGAGAAGCAATAAATAAGCTAAGATCTATGACTCAAGGAATAACTGAAATGCACTTTTCTTCTCTGAAAACTTCTACATTTTAGATAAGTGTTATAGTTTCTGAAAGTAAGTGTAGTTTTGCTCTTTTTAACTCTTTTGCATTATCACTATTGAAATGCATAGCTCTAACCACCAAAATGACTTCCCAGACCGGGTAGAAAAACATGCTTGGTCACAATATCTTGAAATCTATCATAGATATTATGCCAGTCTTCTATAAGCTTAAGTTGAATATGTTGTTAGTAATGTAACAAATGAGAATATATGTTTTAGGTTGAAGGACCTAGTTTAAATCTGTTATATGTTAGCAAAAATTAAAAGCATCCTGTAAACCAGGTTTCTTATGTGGCAGGAAATGAGTTATTTTATCTTTCACATTAAAAACTTTATATATTAATATCATAACATTATGAACTTTAAACATTATAAACTACACCAGTGTAATGATTTTAGGATTCTACAATGTTTTCTTTCTCCAGGTACATTCTCTACTGAGTTTTCATTACAAAATCTGCCATTCCTATTAGCATACACTTTCAAATCCTAGGTTAACTCCTAACCTCTGCAGGTTAGAAAGAAAATTTGAGCAGGACGTGGTGGCTCAAACCTGTAACCCCAGCACTTTGGGAGGCCGAGGCAGGTGGATCACAGGGTCAGGAGATCGAGACCATCCTGGCTAAGACAGTGAAACCCCGTCTCTACTAAAAATACAAAAAAATTAGCTGGGCATGGTGGCAGGCGCCTGTAGTCCCAGCTACTCGGGAGGCTGAGGCAGGAGACAGGAGAATGGCGTAAACCCAGGAGGTGGAGCTTGCAGTGAGCCGAGATTGCGCCACTGCACTCCAGCCTGGGCAACAGAGCGAGACTCTGTCTCACAAAAGAAAAAAAAAAAAGAAAGAAAATTTGGTCGTTCCATTGAAAGCCACTATTAAATAGGGATGTTTCCCATTTTAGATGAGAGTTAAAGATAATGGGTCTTTGATATTATAGCAGTGATCCTAGATTAATTTATTACATAAGTTAGTTGAGGCATTGTTAAAAAAGTAAAAATCACCTTAAAGAAATGAGAAACTGAATATTTATTTGGAATAAAAGAGAAAATATTTGGGTGGTTGTATTGTATATGGTAACAGAAAGAAAGTATTCAGCATATATATATTTTTCTGAGAGATGAAGATAAAAGAAAGAATGTGGAAACTAGAAAAACACTTCACTACATCTTTTAACTGTTGAGGATATCTCTAAAGTTAAGAAATCTGGAAGTTAGGAATGTCTGCATCTTATGGTTCGCATTCTAGTTAGACTCTTCAGTGTTCCACTTGGGCTCTGTCATCACAAAACTACAGAAAATAGACACATTTTCCTATATTGGTCTATTTCCCCAATATTTCTTAACTGGTATATTGGAATAATGTGAATATTAGTCTCAGAGATAAGCAAATCTAAATTTTTGGTTAATTGTTATGAGAAATTAAAATGCTGTCTTGAAATTATGAGATCTATAGTAGCATATTATTACCACTTATTTATTTTAATTTTACTGCATGCTTTTTTTTTTTTTTTTTTTGAGACAGAGTCTTGCTCTGTCGCACAGGCTGGAGTGCAGTGGCGCGATCTCGGCTCACTGCAAGGTCCGCCTCCTGGGTTCACGCCATTCTCCTGCCTCAGCCTCCTGAGTAGCTGGGACTACAGGCGCCCGCCACCAAGCCCGGCTAATATTTTTTGTATTTTTAGTAGAGACGGGGTTTCACCGTGTTAGCCAGGATGGTCTTGATCTCCTGACCTCGTGATCCGCCCACCTCGGCCTCCCAAAGTGCTGGGATTACAGGCGTGAGCCACTGCACCTGGTCTGCAGGCTTTTTAAACATTTGGATGCATTTAAAATTGTACCCTTGCTTATAAATCAGTCAAGTAGTATTTATTGAGTGCTTACTCTTTGGTTCCAAGCTTAATCATTCAGCTTCACATTCAATCATATTTATAATTTATCATCACATGTAATATCCCATGTCTGTATGAAAAATTATAGGCAGTTTCTTGATATATTTACATATCAATCCCAATAGCAGTACCACTAAGTTTCTAATGTCATTACGAACAAGTTAAAATATGATCACAGAATTCTCTCTAATATATTTTTCTATTTTGTTGTTGAAAAAGTTTATGAACTAGTCTAGCTTAAGATTCATTTTCTGATTTAAGTGACACGTAACATCTGCAATGAGAACACATTTCAAGAAATTAATATATTAGAAGTGCCTACCTTTAACTTGTACTGCATTTGATACCCATCTAACTAAACTTGTTTGAATTTGCTTTTTCAAATACAGCTTAACAACTTCAAATTAAGCATTTGATTTTATGCTTTGGTGAACAGTGACTCTTTGCCAAGTAGTAAATGATAGCAGACACATACAGCAACATTTTTTTTTTTCTGTTTCAAAATATCGTAAACAGACTTAGGGGATTTCTTTTTCTGTCCATAATGGAATAATAACGACCCAGATTTACATCCCTTATAAACAATGAGAAAACTGGACAAACTATATGTAACGATAGTTTTCATACATTGGACAACAGACAGAGGGTGACTGTAAACCCTGAGAAAAGAAAAACAATGTGAGCGCAATGATCAGCTTGACTTTACAGCTGCAGAAAAAACTGGATGGAGGGAGGAGAGAGAGAAAGCTTAGAAGAGCCTAGAGGCATTGCTGAATTGAAAGCTCAGAAATTGTAATCTGAGAAGGTTGATGAAGTTAAGTTGTGGGACAGAGTTCAATAAGGGAGAGAGAGACCACAGAAAGAGTTCCAGATATTTAAATAGGCACTGACTTACCTAATTAAGACTCTTTGCTGAGTACTAGGCTACTCACATGTAGCAAGAAATTCAACTAGGCCAGGCAAAAATCTACAAAGAAGTTGTAAGATAAACAATTCTCTGAGTTAAAAAAAAAAAAAAAATTACTGCATGCTTTTTTTTTTTTTTTTTTTTTTGAGACGGAATCTCGCTCTGTTGCCCAGGCTGGAGTGCAGTGGCATGATCTTGGCTCACTGCAAGCTGAGTGAATCCTCAAGAAGAGGATTCATTAGACACCACAATGGGTAAAATTTTCGTGGTAAAACGGAAACATTCCTGAAGTGAAAACAAATCTAGGTTTTTCAGAGCAAAGCTAAAAGTAAACCTGAAAGTAATCATACTGACCCACAAGTAACCTAACTGCAGGTTAAACAAAGCCTAACACTCTAAAAGAGAAAACTGAGTCCAGATGGTCAAACTATAACAGTTACAGTGTCCATCATCTTATCAAAAAAATTAATTAAGTGTGCAAAGCAATAGAAAAATGTAGCCTGCAAATAAAGGGTCAACACTTTGCAAAGGCTTGAGTTCACTACTAAAACCACATGTAAGGCTGTATAATCCATAAATGATTATACAGTTTATATCATTAATGAATAATTATTCTAAGTAATTCATAACTATCAGAAAAATATCACAAGAGGGAGTATTTTTAATAAAGAGGAAAATGAAAACAAAATACATCAAAATTTGTGAAGCAGCTTAGAACAGGCCTTGAAGTTAATGTGTAGGTTTAATTATATGCATAGAAAAGATAAAGTTCTAAAATCAATAATCTAAAAAACAAATAAATTATCTACTTTTCCCTATAAGTGGAAGAAAGAAAAATATAAATGGGGACAAATGTTAATAAAGTAGCAAACCAAAAATATAGAAATGTAAAAATATTTCTAATTAAGAAAAATTATACAATTCTAGCTATCATGGTCAAGATATAAATCAGGAGGGCATAAATTACTAATAACTACAATGAAAAAAGAACAATAACTGTACATACTAGATAAATTAGTGTAATAAATCAGGTTTACAATAAAAATCTTCCTGACAACAAATTCTAAAACTTCATAATAGAACATTTCTCTCAATAGAAAAAAATTACCAAAATTAACTGAAGAATAATTGGAAAAAAAAATTGTTTCCTATCAGTTAGATAAACTGCTCTGTAATTAGTAACTTTACCTACAAAGAAAGCTTCATGCCAAAGTGGCTTTATTTTTTAATTCTATCAAGCATTTGAGAAAGACCTAACACCAAGCAAACTTTTTTAAGAACACAGAGGCAGGAGCACATACTACACATTTTATTAGGTCAGCCTTAGCCTAATGTCAAAACCAAGCAAAGGTGACAGAAGAAATGACATTTACAGCCTTTATCACTCATAGATATAGGTACCAAAACCCTTAAGAAAACATTAACAGAGGGAGTCTAGGAGTAAATGCATAGAGTAACTTATTATGACAAAATGATTGATTTTAGTAATGGATGGTCTTCAACACTCGGAGGTCAAGCAACATAATTCACCATATCATCAGACTGAAACCAGGCAATTTCGATAACTAAAAAAAAATGACAAAAGTAAACATTCATTTATTATGGAGAACTTTTAGTAAACTGTAAATAGAAGTTAATTTTCTCAGTCTCATAAAAGGCATCTATAAAAATTTATAGCTAAAATTATGTTTAATGACTAATGTTAAAAGTTTTCCCTGAAAGATAAGGAATAAGGCAGGTTTGTACATTTGCACTGACACTATACTAAATATACTAGCTATTAAAATAAGGCAAGACAAAGTAAAAAGCTCCATTTATTCACAGATGACATGAATGTGCGCATAAAAATTCATAGAGAATCCACAAAAAAGTTACTAAAATGAATAAGTAAGTTGATAAATATTGTAGGATATTAAATTAATATCTAAAAATGTATGGTATATCTATGTACCACCAATACATATGTAGAAATTTACATTTTAATTTACCATTTGCAATAAATTTTAAAAATGCAATATGCAATATTTGAATACAGATTTGAAAAATATATGAAAAATCTAACTATTATAATGTTCAGACATTGACAGAGAGATTAAAAGAAACCTAAATAGAGACAGACTGTGTTCATAAACCAGAATCCTTAATGTTGTAAAGATTACAATTCTCCTTCAATTATTCCAGAGATTTATTGTATTCTCAATCAAAATTACACCTGTTTTTCTTCAAAAATTGACCCTCTTCTTCTAAAATTTATATGGACAGAAAAAATTACCTAGAATGACCTAAATGATCTCAAGTCATTTGACAATATTGATGTGGAGAAATAGGAACAGTTTTACACTGTTGGTGGGACTGTAAACTAGTTCAACCATTGTGGAAGTCAGTGTGGCAATCCCTCAGGGATCTAGAACTAGAAATACCATTTGACCCAGCCATCCCATTTCTGGGTATATACCCAAAGGATTATAAATCATGCTGCTATAAAGACACATGCACACGTATGTTTACTGCGGCACTATTCACAATAGCAAAGACTTGGAACCAACCCAAATGTCCAACAACGATAGACTGGATTAAGAAAATGTGGCACATATACACCATGGAATACTATGCAGCCATAAAAATGATGCGTTCATGTCCTTTGTAGGGACATGGATGAAACTGGAAACCATCATTCTCAGCAAACTATCACAAGGACAAAAAACCAAACACCGCATGTTCTTACTCAATGGTGGGAATTGAACAATGAGAACACATGGACACAGGAAGGGGAACATCACAATCCGGGGCCTGTTGTGGGGTGGGGGGAGGGGGGAGGGATAGCATTAGGAGATATACCTATTGCTAAATGACGAGTTAATGGGTGCAGCACACCAGCATGGCACATGTATACATATGTAACTAACCTGCACATTGTGCACATGTACCCTAAAACTTAAAGTGTAATAATAATAAAAAAATAAAAAAGAGAATTAACAGTACAAAAACCAATAATAATGGAAGAAAAAATTATCAGTTGGAGCTTTTTGAAAATTAAAATTTCTACATTTTTCTGATACCTAAAAAAAATAAATAAAAAAGAAGAAAAACTTGAATTACCTGTTTTCAAGACTTACAATTAAGCTACAGTGATCAAACTAGAGGATACTGGCATCAGGATAGTCATAGATAATATAACCAAAGAGTTTAGAAATATTCTTCCATATCTATAGTCAACTGATTTTCAACTAGTGTGCCAAGATAATTCAAAAAGAAAGACTAGCTATTTCAACAAATAATGGTGGGAAAATAGCGATCTGTGTGGGAAAAAAAATAACCTTGATCTTACTACATTTTACTCAAAACAGACCTAAACATACAAGCTAAACCAACAAAAAACTTAATAGCAGAGAGGAAAGGAGCAAACCTTTATAACCTTTGCATAGCAAAGATTTCTCAGATGGAATTTAAAAAGTTCTAGCCTTTCACAAAAGTGAAATATTGTACTTTATCACAATTCAAACGTTACTCTTCAATAGGCACTATGAATTAATGAGAATGAAAATCAAGCCTCAGTCTTGAATACATTACTCATAATTCACACACACACACACACACACACACACACACACACACACACACACTTTTCCAGAGAAACAGAACCAATAGGATGGGTACACATGCATACACATGCACACCCAGATTTATTGTAAGAAATTGACTCACATGATCATGAAGGATTGGTAAATTTGGTAGACTGCCCAAGAAAGAGTAATAGTTCATGTCCAAAGGCAATCTGCTAGCAGAATTTCTTCTGTTCAGGGAGTTCAGTCTTTGTTCTGCTAACTTCAACTAATTGAATGAGGTCCACCCACATTATGGAGGATAATATACTTTACTCAAAATAAATTTCACAGATATAAATGTTAATCTCATCCAAAAATACCTCAAAGAAACACCCAGCATAATATTTTAGCAAATATCTGGAAACCATTTTCCAGCCAAGTTAACACATATAATTAACCTTTACAACATATATCTGACAAAGGACTTTAATCTAGAATATGCAGGAAACTTTGAAACTCAATAATAAGACATACAACTGAATGCTCAAATGAGTAAACATTTAAATGCCACATCCACTTAGAATATACAGGAATGGCCAGCATACACATTAACAAATGCTTAAAATCATTATTCTTCAGGAAGCGTAAATTAAAACCACAACTAGATACCAACACACAATCGACTACACATTTAGAACGCTTAAAAATTAAAGACTGAGAATACCAAAGGATGACAAAGATGTGGAACAACTAGAATTCCCGTATGTTGCTGATGACAGTAAAAAATTGTATGACTACTTTAATATACATTCTAAAAGTTAGCATAAACTTAAACAAATGGGCCAGCTCTTTCACTCCTAGCTGAAGTAGAACATGTGCTCAGAAAGGTCTAATATCCAGAATCTATAAGAAACTTGAACATATCAACAAGCAAAAGACAAAAAATCCAATTTAAAAAATGGGCAGAGGACATCAACAGATACTTCCCCGAAGAAGATATGTAAGCAGCCAACAAATATATAAGAAAAATTGTTCAACATCACTAATCATCAGAGACTGTAAATCAAAACCATGATGAAATACCATCTCACATCAGTAAAAATGACAATTATTAAAAAGTCCTCTGAGGAAAAGGAATACTTATACACTGTTGGTGAGAATGCAAACTACTTTGGCCACTGTGGAAAGCAGTTTGGAGATTTCTCAAAAAACTTAAATTACACCTACCATTTGATCCAAAAATGTCACTACTGGTTTTATACTCATAGGAAAATAATTAATTCCTTCAAAAAGACACATGCACCCATATACTCACTGCAGTGCTATTCACAATAGCAAAGACATGGAATCAACCTTGGTGTGCATCAACAGTAGATTGGAAAAAGAAAATGTGGTACAATATACGCCATGGAATACTACACAGCCATCAAAAGAATGAGATCATGTCCTTTGCAGCAACATGGATGAAGGTGAGGCTGTTATCATAAGCAAAGTAAAGCAAGAACAGAAAACTAAAAACAACCTGTTCTCACTTGTAAGTTGGAGCTAAACACTGAATACATGTAGACATGAAGATGGGAACGATACACACAGTACCACTAGATGGGGGAGGAAGCGATGGGAGGTGTGGGCTGAAGAACCACCTGTTGGGTATTTTGCTTACTGCCTGGGTGATGGGCAGAGGCCCCAGGCCTCAGTATCACATAATTGACCCATGTAACAAACATGCATGTGAGCTCTTTATAATAAAAGTTGAAATTACTAAAAAATAGAATTACTCACAAAAGTTCATATCAGCTTTACTCCTAATAAACAATCTAAATGTCCATCAACAGGTGAATTAATAAATAAATAAAGGATAATATATTTACACAATGAAATATCATTTACCAATAAAAAGAAATGAAATATTGACTCATGCAAAAACATGGATAACTCTTAAGATGTTAAACTCAGCTATAACAGTTCAGTTTAAAGAATACATAAAAGAGTACAATGTCATTTATATGTACTTCTAAAAAAACCAAACGGATTAAAAATAAACAAATGTAATCCATAGGAGAAGAAAGCTAGTGGGATCATTTCCTGGGCTGGGGGTGGTATGGGATCTTGACTAGGAAGGGACACAAGGTAATATTTTGGAATGATGGGAATATTCTATAATTCCCTTGTTGTGACAGTGATTGCCCTGATACATATGTTTATCAAAACTTCTCTATATATGTACTTAAAATCAAATGCATTTGATTTTACTTACAGAATATGGCAGTAAAATGGATTGAAAATAGATGAAAGGAAATACAGAATTACCAAAATTGCATGATTTTTATTATCAAAATTGCGACATTGAAAGCGTGGAGAAACTTATAGGAGAGAAAATGTATTTTAAACATTTATAAAACCTTTTGTTCAACAGCAATTATTTAAAAAACAAAAAAAACAAAAGAACCAAAGCAGGATTTAGGAAAGAATCCTTATGGAGGTGGGGCTAAGATGGGGAAATGAGTGAGGAACAAACAGACATCAAGCTTGGAGATTTGCTAGTTTGAAAGTTATTCCCAGAGCAAATTGGATTCCAAAACAGCAGAGCTTTATTTTCTTAAGGACAAGAAAAACTGAAACAACTCTTTCTAGCTCGTATGAGGCTACAAGCAGAGTTGACTATGAAAGAGAGCCCATTTTCTCAGATAATTACATCTGTGATGGGAAGTGAATGGATAGCGAAATAGGTTTTTGTAGTTTTGGTTTTATGTCAACATTGTTCATAGTAGCTGACACACAGTTTATATATTCTACATAGCTTGGTGAAAAGGAAGTGTTGGATAGTGTATTTCAAAGAATGGATATTAAAGTAGTACATCCATAGCATTGTATAAACAAGAAAAAAATACATATAGCCTCTTGAAGGTTTGATGAAAAATGATAGAATTTTTCACTATTGCTTTCTAAAATGACAGACACATTAGCTCTTTCAGATGTTACAGTTATATATGTTACAAATGCAGAGTGTAAAAATTTCCTGAAAATCGATCCAATGTTTCTGAACGCATTTAGCCGAAGAATGAGGACTAGTCTTAGAAAACGCCCCTAAGGCAGCTTCCTGAAGTCTCAGAGCTTGCTGGAGGCAGGAATTGGTGTGCTGGACGTTACACTCTGTTCTAAAAATCATTAAAGTTCACTTTCAAATTATATCTCTTTAACAATAGCCCAAGTAGCTTAACAAAGATGGTTACGGTACAGTCAGCCTCATGCATCATAGGACTTCAAGAGTTGTTTGTCTGTCTTCTGTTCCCCCTTAGTGATACCTCATGGAAGAACCATAGAGTTTCCTATAAAACCTGTGTTCCTGTTCATGGCTTTGCTCCTTTCATGGAATGTAACAATGCTCAGATCAGAGACCCTATTCAGACAACAGAGTAATGGATATTACACAGATACTGAAGGTCGTTTTGGTTATGATTTTACAAATGAGACGCCATTTTAGGTAGCTTTAAGGTTAAATATTTTAAGATATATGTTTCATTTATAGTAATCTTGTTCAAAGTCTGTTCCTGCGTATACCATTTATATTTCAAGGCTTTGGAAAGATAACCATAACTCGGTAAGCATGATTGTGTTTTACGATCTGTGACTACGATAGCATTTAACCGTAAAAATCGCGGTGCATTGTTTAATGCAAATGACTCCTAAGAGGGTTTCTTTTCGTACTCCTGATTTATGATCCTAAAGCCAAGATAAATGTCCTGCCTTAACATTTTATTACACTCATACTCGTGTATGATCTTGTCTGAGGAAGCAATACGAATTATGAAAAAAAGCGTACAGGACAGATAATTTCATGCTCTACTGATATAGAAGGTCAGTATCTACTTTAGTGAGTCTGACAATATTTTGACTTTAGACTCAAACGCAATAATGTAACTTTCCTAGTGGTAAACACCTATAACTTAGATCATTTGTTTCTTATCATTATTTGTAAGGATATCCCTATAACTTTCTCTATAACTTAGATAATTTGTTTCTTATCCTAATTTGTAAGCTACTTACCATTAATATTACATGATTATAAATTAAATTTTATTACATACATGAAAATTTACAGGAAATAATTTTTTCTTCTACATATTAAATTTCTACTTATCCTTATTTTGTGTGTGGTTATGTTTTTCCTCTTTTCTTCTTCCCACTTCTCCACCCCATTCTCTTTTTCCTTTGACTCCAGCAACTAGAGTTTTGTCATATGAAGTAATATAAGCCAACTCACACCAATCATGATTAAATGTAACCTAACACTGTATTGATTTTTCTGATGTCTGTTTCCTGTGTTGCCACTTTGATTGTGTGGCGAGCTCTACATGTTTTACCAAAGCAATTTAAACTGAGTTACTCCTTTTCAAATACTTTCTCAATATTTAATTTCTCTTAAGTCATATCCACTCCATATTTATGAATTAAGGGATTTCTATATTTTTTTACAACAGTGGATGTTCCAGTGGCTTTTTATAATGGGTAGCTTTTCAAAATAAGTTATTGTGTTATAGTGTACAGTATACACGATTTGCAAATCCAGAATGACATTGGTTTAAATTCCAGATATCGACATACATTTACATAAAGGATTATCAGTATTTAATATATTTACATACACATAGATACATATTCAAATGAATATGTAAATAAATATGATAAAAACATAGAGTGAATGTCATATGTATACTACACAACATAAGAAATAGAACATTACCAACAACTTTGGTGTATCTTGTTTATATCTCCTCACACTCACAGAAAACCATCCTTAAATTTGTGCTTGCCATTCCTTTACCTAATACCCCTAAGCAATATACAGACATTATACAGAATCGATTTTGCCTGTTTTTGAAATTTTATTATGTTAAATTATACTTGTGATATTTGATAACTTGCTCTTCCACTCAACATTATGCTCCCGAAAATCAGTCACATTGACGTGATTCTGGTTCACTTATTTTTTACTGCTCTTTAATATTTGATTGTATGAAAATTCCTTTATTTTTCTATTTTTGTTTATAAGTATTTGAGTTATTAGAGTATTTTGTATTGTAAAATGTTATGAGCATATTGAGCCATGTCTTCATACATACATATGTGTGTATATATACATATATGTTTATTATCTTTAGAGAAATTTTGCTCATATATATGAATAAAAATTTCTCTAAAGAAAATGCATTAGAGTGCCACTTCAGTTTTGCTGGTTGACTTCAAATCATTTTCTAAATTGATTTGCATTCATTTTACTGCCACCATAAAACACTAAGGCATTCTTTGGTCCATATCTTTACTAATGCTTAGTAATTCAAACACTTTAATTTCCTTCTGTTGAGGAAGTTTAAAATAGTATTTATGGCTTTAATTTTCAAATTCTTCTTAACAATGAGGTTGGGCAGAAAATAATTTTATTTTAAATTACTTTTGTTTGAGCCAAATTTACTTTTATTTTTCTAAAGTAACTTTTAATATCTACTATATTAGTGAAATATTCCATTTGAGTAACAAAATAGTTGGTGATGTAAAATGAGGAATAAAGGAATTTCATTTCTGGTTCATTTCTGTTAAAGAAAAAGGAAATTTTTCCATATTTTTTGAAAAAAACTAATTGGACACCTTCATAATAATTTAAACTAAATTGAATATTGGATTTACATTTTATTGTATCTTAAAATGCACATAGCAAAACCCACTGATTTCAATTTAATTAACATAGAAACCAAGATATGCTTTGTAAATTTTACAAGTAAAGCTGAATCCAGAGAAAAAACAATTTTTATGAACTTACTTTAAATGTCAGTTAGTAATTAAGAAAGAGCATCATAGAAAAGTCAAGTTACTACAATTTTCTATTAGGTATACTTTACAATCCTTTATCTTACTTATAATTTTTATTTTCCTTCATCCATTTAGCTTTAAACAAATATCCCACAGGTTCATTCCTCTAAACAAAGTCATTAATAGAAATTTCATTAAGTACTGCTTACTGTTTAATAGGTAATTTTTTTTATAATGCCAACTGTAATAAGGTTGACAATCAGCAAAATATGTGGCATATTAAAATGTTCGAAGGAAATGGGAATATGAGGGAAAATGCCATGATCTTGGGAACTTTGATTCAAAAGACAGTTTTTATAAACAAAAATGAAAAAAAAAAGCAAATGAAAATGTTGATAGATCCCAAAGTGCTACATCGTGTTTGTTAAGTCAAGAAAGTCCTATAATCATGTATAATAATATATCATTAAGTAACCTGATAAATTATAAAATTCAGTGTGTAGAAACTTGAATTTTAATAGAAAAATTACATCATGACATAAGAACAGTAATAATTTTAACTACTACTTCTTACTTCTATTAGATTTCTATTTTGGAAATCAAATTACCTCAACTTTTGGTGAGTTAAACAACAATATTAATATTTATTTTTTCACAGTTTGTATTAGTCAAAAATGTAGGATTGAACAGGGTTGTTTTGGCTTAAGTTCACTCATGAGTTGCAGGTAGATGTCAGACTTTGTTGCAGTTTACTTAAAAATTGAGTGGGCCTAGAGAATGTGCTTCCAACTGGGCTCATTCATGTAGCTTAGATAGCAAGCTGGTGCCAGCTATTGTTAGGGGTTGTTACTTATAGCATGAAATTCATTGCATTGTTTGCATGTCATCATAGCTAAATATCTGATTCATTCAGAGCTACTGATACATGGAAAGCACACTAGAAGCTGCAACAGATTTTATAATTGTGCTTCAGAAGTCACATAAATTCATTTATGTCATATTATATTGATTACATAGATTGATGCTGATACAGTGTGGGAGGGCCTTTCATAAATGTTTGAGGAACAGAAGTTGAGGCTCATTAGGAGCTATCTTGGAGGCTGGCTACTATATATATTTTCAAAGTTGCATGTATTAGTCAAAGTTTCCAGAGAAACAGACCAATAGGAGGTATGTATCTGTATCTATCTATCTATCTATCTATCTATCTATCTATCTATCTATCTATCTATGTATCTATATGAGAAGATTCATTATGGGAATTGGCTCATCGGTTTATGGAGGCTAAGAAGACTCATCATCTGCTGCCTACAAGCTGGAGAACCAGGAAACCCAGTGGTGTAATTCACTCTGAGTTCAAACCATGAACTCTGAACTCATGAACTCTGAACTCTGATGTCTGAAGGCAGAAGATAGATGTTCCAGTTCAAGAATATATATGAAGAGAGACAATTTGCCCTTTCTCCACCTTTTTGTTCTATTTTATCCCTTAACAGATTGGGGGTGAGGCCCCCCACATTGGTGAAGGTGGATCTTTTTTACTCAGTCTACTGATTCAAATGCTAAACTCTTCTGAAAACACTCACAGATACACCCAGAAATAATGTTTACCACCTCCTTGGCATCATTTAGCCTAGTATATTTGAAACAGCAAATTAACTGTCATCCTGTGTATTCTTTTATTTTTTTCTCACTTTATAGAGTAAACATTAAAAACAATAACAACAACAAAAACCACCTCTTACTATGGTCTTTGTTACTTTATGATTCTCTACTGTAATATGATTAACATATAGCCATGCACCATATAACATTTCCGTGAATGACAGATCACATACACATCCTTATATTGTAGTACTGTATTTCTACCGTACCTTTTCTATCTTCAGATATGTTTTGATACACAAATACTTACCATTGTATTATAATTGCCTACAGTATTCAGTACAGTAACTTGATGTACAGTAGGTGTATCGTCTAGGAACAATAGACTATACCATATGGCCTAGGTGTGTAGTAGGCTAAATTATCCAGGTTTGTGTAAGTACAATATGATGTTCCCACCACAACAAAATTGCCTAACGATGCATTTCTTCTAACATATCTCTGTCTTTAAGCAGTCCATGACAATAGTTTCAATGACTCAGAAAATTTTATGTTAAAATATGTTACTGTAGAATAGTAAACTGTACTATCAGTTATTTTTACACTAGCATGAGTTAAGGATATTACCTAAATGTTTGGTAATAAAAGAAAATTATCAAAGAAAATGTTGGAGTCTTCACATATATGATACGGAAATTAAGAGGAAATAAAGAATAACAGAGTTTGAATTCCATCCGTTCCACAAACTTGCTGTGCCCCACATTTATAGGTTACATTATTACACTTATATAAAGGGATACATAATGAAGAGAGATACTGAATGTCTCAATTATAATTTTAACATTACAAAAGTGTGGTTAATGCACAAGTATCTTTTTGAGTAAGTAGAATCCCACAACTACACCAAACATTTGTAAGTGCATTTATTATAAATATATCAGAAATTAAACCCAAAATACCCCAACTAGAAATCAAAATAGAATTTAAAAATGATGTTTAATATTATGTACCATCTGTCTTTTCTGGAAATCACTAAACTATATTTCTTTACTTGATTAAATTGACTTCAACTTATTTTACCAATTGAGCATTGGAATAAGCATGGTAACAATATTTCACATTTGTCTTGTGATTTATAATCTAAAGCTTATTTAGAAGCTATTTCAATAGTATGTTCTAGATCTTGCTCCTTTAAAATGAGAAAATACTTAGAACTATAAAGAAAGGAGCCAATTATTGGCTATTAGGATAACAATATCATCATTTTAGATGGAACAGTAGTCCTTTCTATAAAATTATTCGACAACTAAAAATAAAAGAATGTCACAGTGTTATTTGCCTATCAGATGAGGTCACGATGATTCATATTAGCATAAATTACAAAATGGGATACAAGTGGATAATCTATTATGCTCAAGTGATTTTTTACACTACTATTATTATTATATGAATTATAGTCTAGGTGCCTGGAGCATGAACATACACATGTTACAGCTGAAAGCTAATTTCTGTTCCCTGAAAGAATGTATTCATTTTACTGTGACACCATTCAGAATAAGACATATTTTTATCATCTGCTTGGTTTCATATTCATATCTATGAAAATGTAAAATTGATTAATGTTTCATAGTAAATAGAAGACTTGTGAATTTCCTTGATGTTTTTGAAGTACAGAGGAAGTGTTATGCAATTCACACCCACTTTATTCTCAATTATTTAGAGTAATAGAGAAAAAATATGGAATGGCATTTCTCATATCACAGCTAGCTGACAGCATATACAATTAGGCTTGATTCATAGCATTTATTAAAATTTCCATTTAATTGCTAATTAGTCTGTATAGATTTGTAAATGTAGGAAATGGTGCTTGCATAATTTTTTTTCTAATACTCAGTGCAGCAGAGAGCACTGAAATTTCTATAGAGTAGAATCACAGTGATTCTTCATTATGCCTTGTGGTAGTCATGAAAATAATTATGAATTCACTAGTCCATTTATTTTCTTAACATTCTTTGTGCTGATCTCTTACTTCCCCTCCCTCTTCACTCCAACATGATATGTAGAGAAAATCATTGAATGTTAGAATTAGAAACATCATGTAAGTCAGCCTTCTTATTTTACATAGTAGAAAATCAACATCCAGAGAAACTGACTTTAGTTATATATTCTACACTTTTTGTATGCAAGTCATCAACAGAATTTCAACGGAAATGAATCCTGATTATATTTTAAAGTTGCTATAGTAAATAAATTGAGTATGATTTATTTCCTCTTTGATCCTTATTGATGTACCAAAGACAAACTTTGAGAATATTTATAGGTAGTTCAGCAGGCATTAAGACATTTAATATTTTTTTTCATTTTTTTCACTCTCTTTCCTCCATTCCTCCCTCCCTCCCTTCCTTCAGTCTTCCCTTCCCTCCTTTTTTCCTTTCTTCCTTTCATCCTTCCCTTCTTTCTTTCTTCCTTTCTTATTTCCTTCTCAAAATTTCAAATTTACTTAAGGATTGAATACTACCATCTGGTCCTTCCCATTTAAGACATTTGATTCATTATAGAATAAGAACAAATCCTCCAAGATATCTAAATGTTATAACCAAACATTGAATGTCTAAGAATAGACAAATTTGGGGTTTACTATTGTATGGAAAATGTTTCAGATGACTTAGTTATTCTTGTCAGCAGCTGAGGAATAGGACTAAAACTGTGGGCTTTGGTGACTGAAAGAAGAGGCTTGTGATCTTGTCTCTATCCTCACTATTTACGGTCTTAAGTAAGTTATTTAATCTCTATATACTCAATTTACTCATCTGTGAAATAAAAGAAACCAATCATATTTTTCACAGAGATCTATTATGGTAGTTAAGGAGGACAGTTTATAGAAAATCTTACACAGTATATGGAGCTCAGTAACAACTTTATAAATGTTAGCTATTAACACATATGATATTTTTATTGTAATTATTTTATTTTCAGCAGTTAATTGACTCCTCTAATCTATCTATATCTATCATTATCAGCATCAGCTATCAATTTGTGAATCCCTCTATGCCTGCATTCCTGCCTCTATATGCACATACATAGAGTGAATGTCTTTCTTAAAAATATCTTAAAGCCATTCTGTGCTTTATTTAAGACAAAATATATTTATTCTCTCAAAGATTCATAGTTCTTTATGAGAGAGTATTTTAAAACTAGGACACCAGCTCTAATGATATGTAGAACTCTTATGTTAAATACTAATGACAGATTAATGTATTAGCCTGTTCTCACGCTGCTAATAATGACATACCCAAGACTGAGTAATTTATAAACAAAAGAGGTTTAGTTGACTCACAGTTCCACGTGGCTGGGAAGGCCTCACAATCATGGTGCAAGAGCAAGGGATGTATTACATGGCGGCAGGCAAGGGAGAATGAGAGAGCCAAATGAAAGGGGTTTCCCCTTATGAAACTATCAGATCTCATGAAACTTGTTCACTACCGTGAGAACACTATGGGGGAAACTGTCCCCATGATTCGGTTATCTCCCACCGGGTCCCTCCTACAACGTGTGGGAATTATGGGAGCTATAATTCAACATGAGATTTGGGTGGGGACACAGCCAAACCATACCAAATGGCTATCAAACTCCAATTTAAGGAGGATTTATATATGATTTATTCTACTATGCTTCTTTCAATAACTGCCCAGATCCTGAAACAACTGCCAGCTTACACGACATCTCATTAATTCCTGAATAGTTGAACTTTCTTGGACTTAATATTGACTACTATTGCCTTAGAAGACAGTTGCTTGGTCTCTTACGTAAGCATTTATGCCAGAACCAGTAGATTTCCCTCTTAGTTTATCTAAGCATTCTAGACCATAGACAATTTATCTAAAAACAGTTCTGTGGTGAAACACAATAGTATTACTTCTCAGGATCAATGCAGCTAGAAAATAGGATCAACATTTACATCTTTATGAACTGAATTGCTATTTCTCAGTAATAATTATAATGATAGTAATAACAATGTTGCTAACATTTAATGTTGCTGACTGTGTTGAGCAAGTTATTTGCATACTTTTAAAAAATTTGATTCTCACAACAAGCATATGAGGCAGATATTAACATTTCCGTTTTTAGTGGTAAAAGTTGAGCCAGAGAAAGAGTATTGCCCAAGATAAAAAGACTTAGAGGGCATTTTGCATTCATGCTCCATAATATTTACGGTGTGGCTCGCAGCCAATTTGTCAAAAGGATTTGTCTAAAATACAATGCAAATATTTCCATAACTGTACATTTAAAGTTATATTTAATAGTTAATATATTTTACATGAAATGCATATGAAAGTATCTCATCATTATCCCATATCTATATTCTAGACTATTAAATAACAAAATTTTCATATATTCACAGTATCCTGTGAATTTTCTGTTTTTCCCATATTCCTCTCAAAATATTTTCACATTGGTGGGTAGGATTATACCATGGCTAGTCCATGTGGGTACTGCAGACTCTGATACATTGCTATTGTGTATTTAAAGTGAAAAATCCACTTTCAAAGAACTTCACTTTATCTAGTAAAGTCAAAGACGCATCTACTTGTGAACAAGCATTTATATTCCTAGGACAATTCCTTTCAGACAAGAGACTTGTATATGTGAAGAAGGAAACATGTAAAAAGGTTACATATATTAATACACATGTATAAAATGGCAAACACCTTAAATATTTACCTAAAGGACATTGCCATTTTCCAAAATGAGTTTTTTTCCAAGTATGAATTTCTGCCTACTGCATATCCCTCTTTCTTGCCCTCCCCACTGGGTAAAAGAAAAACATGTTTTAGATTTCTTTGAGTGCAGTAGCTGCATATAAGTTTATAGTCAAAAAACCCATTTGTGTTATATTCTTACATGTATTGTAAAAGGAATGTGGCACTATAAAACAGTTAAAATAAACATACTGAAGTTATACTCATCAACATAGATTAAAAAAACAAAAATGATTATAAACAGTTTAATATCATAGGTAAAAAGTTCAAAAATGTGGAAATTAATACAGTACATTGGTTAGGGATGTATACATACACTATTGTAACTCAATGACAGTTCCACAAGTTATAAGAAGAGAAAGTGGCAGGCCTGAATGTTATTTATTTTTCTACTGTTACTGCAAGCAAGACTCAGGACTAGCTACTTAGAGACAATTTTCTTTCAGTACATTTAGTTGTAAAGTGAGAGCAATTTACTAGTTAATCTCTAAGATTTTGATATCTACATCAATCTTCAATATCTACATCTTCCCGAAGGAATCATAAGCTCAATGTCAAAGGAATGGTTAAACTTTCATTCCTTAAGCAAAATCATTTGTACTGAATAATAATTTTAGCATAACTGTTTAAAGTGTGTGTAGGTGGGGTTGTCACGAGAGAGGGAGAGAAAGAGAAAAAAAGTGGTTTCAAAATTATTAACCCATTAGCCTATACTGGTGTAACAAGTAAGGTGGAGATAGAGACACAGGGTAAATGCATAGGAATGAAATACTTAGATTACATATTGAGTAAATTGTTAACTTTTAAGAAACTTTCATCCTTCTATCAAAAGTTGTGCCAGTTTAAATCCCCATCAGCAGAGTATGAGAGATTTGATTTCTGCATATCCTCACCCACATGCAGTGCAGTCAGTCTTTTTAATCCTTTTCATTCCAATAGGTATATAGGAATTATTCATTATGGATCAACTGAGCAACTTTCCATATGCTTCTTTGCCATCCACACATCTTCCTAGGTAAAATATGTCTTCAAATCATTTGCCTATCTTTTAAAATATGTGTTTTATTTTTAGAAGAGTTGTATATTTAAATAAAATTGAAAATGATACACATAATATTCAAATACCTTAAATGCAGTTTTCCCTATTATTAAAATCTTATATTGGTAAGATAAATTCATCTTACTAATGTAAGAATTCATAAATTCTTACGTTAGTAAGAAACAATATTGATACATTATTAACTAAAGGCCGTACTTTATTTATATGCCCTCCATGTTTACCTAAGCTCCTTTTTCTATCTGAGAATCTCTTCCGTCATACCAAATAATATTTGATAGTCATGTCTCCGTGTGCTCCCCTTGCATGTGTCTGTTCTCAGTCTTTCCTTGCTTTTAATGACCTTGACAGTTTTAAAATATATTGGTCAAGTGCTTTACAGATTCGCTTTCAATGTGGGATTGTGTCATATTTTTATTGATTCAATTAATGTCTGGGGGAAGGAAGACAACAGAAATAAAGTGCCATTTTCGTCAAATTATATTAAGGCTACACACTTTCTTTTTTTTCTCTTTTTTATTATACTTTAAATCAAGGGTACACGTGCACAACGTGCAGGTTTGTTACATTTGTACACATGTGCAAGGCTACACACTTTCATAACATATCACTGTGGATGCTTACCTTCATCACATGGCTAATGTAGTGTTTCACAGGTTTCTCCACTGTAAATTTACTTTTTCATTTCTCATATACTGTACTCACAGGCAGCAAGTCACAAAGTGTAGTCCACACTTAAAGCGTAGGAAACTAGGCTCTACTTGTTTGATACGGAGCACCTACGTAATTATTTGAAATAATTCTGTGTGGGATTCTTGTGGCTTCTTCTCCCCTTAGCATTTATTTATAATAGTATTGACACATATTTATTTCAAACTGTGGTTATTATCTAATACTCTTTTATTTTATTGATCACAATTTTTGTAGCCTTGGGTATTAGGGTCTTTTTCAGTTGCCCTGGAATCCCTTCACTGTGGTATATAGGTTTGAGCATTTCTTACTTTTCGGTACTAGAAGATGTTCCAGTTTTGTCTTGTGTATTTTCTGTTCCCGTCCTAAAACTAATCATTTCTTCAAGAGGCTGTAGTTTGTTTTATTAGAGATTGGCATAAAACAATATTTGTGAGCTAGGTATGTTCACTGTTACTAGAATTTCATATGGCCTCTAGGGCTTCTCAACTGACAGACCAAGCAAATATATGTGCGTATACTAACCTGTGTGTGTATACGCTGTCTGTTAATGCTTCACTGTGTATCTTCTGCATCACTGTTACACTAGCATAAGTTCATATTTTTGTCTCCAACCCTAATCCTGCATTGCATGGATCATTCTAGAAAAAGAAATTCCATGTCTGTTAGCAGCCGCTTTTACTCCACTGCCCCCGGCCCCTAATCTACTTTCTGTCTCTATGAATTTTCCTATAATAGATTTTTTTTTATAAATGGAATTATAATTATGTGGCATTTTGCGTTTAACTCATTTCACTTAGTGCAATGTTTTCAAGGTTCATGCCTGTTGTAGCATGTATCAGTACTTCCTTTCTTTTTATGGTCAAATAATATTCCAATTTTTGAATATAACACATTTTGTTTACCCATTCACTAGTCGATGGACATTTTAGTTGTTTCTACTTTTGGGTATTATGAATAATGGTGCCATGAACTTTTGAATACAGTTTTTGTGTGGACACATGTTTTCATTTCTTTTGGGCTTATACCTAGAAGTTGAATTGCTGGCTCATTTAGTACCTCCATGTTTAACATTTTGAGAAACTGGATCCCTTCCTTACACCTTATACAAAAATTAATTCAAGATGGATTAAAGACTTAGATGTTAGACCTAAAACCATAAAAACCCTAGAAGAAAACCTAGGCAATATCATTCAGGACATAGGCATGGGCAACGACTTCATGTCTAAAACACCAAAAGCAATGGCAACAAAAGCCAAAATTGACAAATGGGATCTAATTAAACTAAAGAGCTTCTGCACAGCAAAAGAAGTTACCATCAGAGTGAACAGGCAACCTACAGAATGGGAGAAAATTTTTGTAATCTACTCATCTGAAAAGGGCTAATATCCAGGATCTAGAAATAACTCAAACAAATTTACAAGAAAAAAACAAAGAAGCACATCAAAAAGTGGGTGAAGGATATGAACAGACACTTCTCAAAAGAGAAACTGCCAAACTATTTTCCAGTTTTTATCAATGGATGTACCATTTACATTCCCACCAGCAATATATGAGGGTTCCAATTTTCCCACGTCCTTGTAAACACTTGTTATTTTCCATTTTAGAAGAGATTATAACCATCTTGGTGCATGCAAAATGGTGTCTCATTGTGGTTTTGATGTGCATTTCTCTAATGAATAATGATGTTGAGGATCTGTTCATGCACTTATTAGCTATTTGTACATACTTTTTTGGAGATCTACCTATTCAAATATTTTGTCCAAATTTTATCTGGGTTGTTTGTCTTTTTGTTATTGAGTTGTAAGCAGTCTTTATATATTCTGGATTAGACCTATATCAGATATATGAATTGCAAATATTTTGTACCTTTATGTGGGTTCATTTCACTTTCTTAATGGTGTTTTTTTTGTATAAAAGTTTTTAATCTGGTGAAGTCAAATATATATTTTTTCTTTTGTTGCTTTTTGCTTTCAATGACATGTTTAGGAGATCATTGTCTAATTCAAGGTTATGAAGACAGATATTTATTTATTTTTAAATTTTTATTTTAAGTTCAGGGATACATGTGCAGTGTGTGAAGGTTTGTTACATAGGTAAATGTGTGTTAAGGGAGTTTGTTGTACATCAGTCAGGTATTAAGCCCAGTACCCATTAGCTGTTTTTTCCTGATCCTGCCCCTCCTTCCATTTCCACCTCCACCCTCTGGTAGTCCCCAGTGTGTGCTGTTCTCCTCTGTGTGTCCATGTGTTCTCATCATTTAGCTCCCACTTATAAGTGAGAACATGCGGTATTTGGTTTCTGTTCCTGCATCAGTTTGCTAAGGATTATTGCCTTCAGTTTCATCCATGTCCCTGCAAAGGACATGATCTCATTCCTTTCTATGGCTGCATAGTGTTCCATGGTGTATATGTACCATATTTTCTTTATCCAGGCTATCATTGATGGGCATTTAGTTTGGTTCTACGTCTTTGCTATTGTGAATAGCGCTGCAATGAACATACATGTGCATGTGACTTTATAACAGAAAGACTTATATTTCCTTGGGTATATACCCAGTAATGGGATTGCTGAGTCTAACGGTATTTCAGTCTTTAGGTCTTTGAAGAATCGCCATACTGTCTTCCAAAATGGGAGAACTCTCAACCCCCCAAAAAACACAATATACATTATTCTCATTGCCACATGGCATTTACTCTAAAATTTATCACATAATTGGAAGGAAAACCCTCATCAGCAAATGCAAAAGAACTAAAATCATAACAAAAAGTATCTCAGACCACAGCACAATCAAATTAGAATTCAAGACTAAGAAATTCACTCAAAACCATACAATTACATGGAAATTGAACAACCTGCTTCTGAATGACTTTTGGGTAAATAATGAAATTAAGGCAGAAATCAAGAAGTTCTTTGAAACTAATGAGAACAAGGATACAATGTTCTAGAATCTCTGGGACACAGCTAAGGCAGTGTTAACAGGGAAACTTATAGCACTAAATGCCCACATCACAAAGCTCAAAAGAACTCAAGTTACCAACCTAACATCACAACTGAAAGAACTAGAGAACCAAGAGCAAAAAAACCACAAAGCAAGCAGAAGACAATAAATAACCAAGATCAGAGCTGAACAGATAGAGCCACAAAAAAACCTTCAAAAGATCAACAAATCTAGGAGCTTTTTTTGGAAAAAAAAAGTAATAAAATAGGTAGGCCACTAGCTAGACTAATAAAACAGACAAGAGAGGATTCAAATAAACACAACAAGAAATGATAAGGGGGATATTACCACTGATCCCCCAGAAATACAAATAACCATCAGAGAATATTATAAACACCTCTATGCACATCAACTAGAAAATCTAGAAGAAATGGATAAATTCCTGGAGACATACATCCTCCTAAGACTAAACCAAGAAGAAATTGAATTTCTGAGCAGACCAGTAATGAGTTCTGAAATTAAGGCAGTAATAAATAGTCTACTAGCCAAAAAAAGCCCAGGACCAAATGGATTCACAGCTGAATTCTAGCAGGTGTACAAAGAGCTGGTAACATTTCTACTGAAACTATTTCAAAAATTGAAAAGGAAAGAGTTCGTCCTAACTCATTTTATGAGGCCAGCATCACCCTGATACCAAAACCTGGCAGAAATACAACTAAAAATGAAAAACTTCAAGACAATATCCTTGATGAACATCCATGCAAAAATTCCCGTGAGATTTCTTACTGTCATTCAAGTCTACACTCAACATTCAGCCTTTGATCAAATTGTATTAATATGTTTCCTGCTGTTTACAGCCCTAGTGGTTCCTGCTCCAGATAAGCAAATCTCAGCTGTGATTCTTGGAATGTGCCTATCTCTCCAGATTCTGATTTGTGCACCATGACCTCAGTCCTCTAATGTGTGCATAGTTCTCTAATGGGCCCATAACTATAGTGCAATTCTTTTAAAAGATATTTACTGCCAATATTTAATTACATATAATATATATTTGATAATTTGTGTAAGTTATTTTTGGCTTTTTTGAGCAATATAAAAATCATTATCTAATATATAAATGATCTCTATATATTTCTATTTAGAATCTGTGATAAAGGTATGAATATGTGATCTAGTAGTTACCATCAAGATATTTGGAAGATATCAGAAGATCTGACGTTCAATCCTGAATCAAAACTTTGGGAAGGCTTTTCATTGTAAGACAGAAATATTATAACTATCTCATAGGATTTTTGTAAAGAGTGAAAGAGAAAACGTATATATTTACTACAGTATCTAGCTTGTTAAAATGCCCAAAAAATCATAATTATTATTAACTTTTATTTACAGATAAAAAAACAAGATTAATATAGTTAAGGGCTTGTTCAAATCTCTAAAGAAAAAAATAAATATATATTCTCCTTTCAAGGGAATAAAATCAAGCACGTGGAGAAGAACAAATAAAGAAAACAACAAAACACAAAGGTTTTAAATTGTCCAAATGAACACATAGAAAACTGCCTTAGGGCAGTAAGAAAAAAAATTTGCCACATTGTGTTGGGGTCAAAGAAGGAAAATCTCCATGTGTTTAGATAAGCATTGAGGGCATTGTAGAATATTCATGGATAACCACAGGATGGCTAAATAAAGGAAGCTGTGGTCAAACGATTTTATGCAGGAAAACAGCAAATAGTGCAGAATATCTGAAGGATAGTATTCAGGTTGATTAACGTGGAGAATGTAAATGAAATCTAGGCTTTCTGGATAAAGTAGATTTAATTTAGTAAGTCATTTTTTTAATGAAAAAATGACATAATGAAATATGCAAACATTTTAAAATATTCTATTTTTCTTGCACAGATTTAAACATAATATTCAACTGTTTATACAGATAAAAAACCTAAATAATCTGAGTAAAGGGTTACTGAAGTCAGTGGAACAAAAATACAACAGTTAAGTAAGAAAAGACAAACAGATGTTCCCCTTCCTGTGTCCATGTGTTCTCATTGTTCAGTTCCCACCTATGAGTGAGAACATGCGGTGTCTGGTTTTTTGTCCTTGCTGTAGTTTGCTGAGAATAATGGTTTCCAGCTTCATCCATGTCCCTACAAAGGACATGAACTCATCATTTTTTATGGCTGCATAGTATTCCATGGTGTATATGTGCCACATTTTCTTAATCCAGTCTATTATTGTTGGACATTTGGGTTGGGGCCTGTCGTGGGGTGAGGGCAGGCGGGAGGGATAGCATTAGGAGATATGCCTAATGTTAAATGACGAGTCACTGGGTGCAGCACACCAACATGGCACATGTATACATATGTAACTAATCTGCACATTGTGCACATGTACCCTAAAACTTAAAGTATAATAAAAAAAAAAGAAATGCCTCCTATATTAAACTTTAAAACACACACACACACACACACACACACACACACACACACACACACCCCGAATAGAAAAACATAATAGAGTTGTTATCTTCAGTAAAATAACTTCTGGTCCTTTAATTCACTGCAGTCTGAAAAATCCTTAATAAAAAGATTGTAGCAATATAAAAAAAAAAGAAAAGACAAACAGATGAACAAATTGGTGAAGAATTATTAAAAATCAGGTGTAAACATCAGTAAAGTAGATATATTTCAACCCAGAAAAGTAAGGGTCTCCCGCTGCTGGATGCTATATTTCAATTTCTTTTGTAGAATATTTCAGGATTAGATATAGAGCCAAAAATGTATTGAAATTTCAAACCAAATAATTGTGCATGCTTGAATGGTACAATAATATATAACTAAACAGTCACAAAATAATAATAAATAGTGGCGTCTTTTTTAAGAAAATAAGGAATAATAATTGCTTTCCAGAAACAAAATTAAACAATTATTTCATAATGAATATATCTAGTTTTTAATGTTCTAGTTTTTGGAAACAAATCCTAAGGACAGCATGAGGACTTACTAATAAAACTATCCATGGTGGCCATTAGACATTTTAATATAGTTCAAGAACATTTTTAAAAGGATATAGAATTTGAAAGGTACATTTGACCATTTGTCATCTAACAAGTCACATGGATATTATTAAAAATTAGTTTAAACAGGCTCTAATAATGCCTCTCTCAAGCCTGTCTCATATTTATCATAATAAATTACTTCTTACACAATTCAACAATGGCTTAATTTTATTAGAATATAAATATATACCTATATGTAGCGAGAAAGTCAAAGGAATAAGTAAATGTTTATTACTTCAAGCTCTTGTATGTACCCTATGTGAATAGATTGAATCTTCCCATTAATGGTGAGGAATGTATGCCTTGTCTATGGATCATTTAAATCAATTATCTAAACTGTGGTGATATTTTTTGATGGGCTATATATTTGAGAAGAAGGACAAAGCCAAAAGAGTGAACAAATAAACATGAGCTGCTTCCTAAATGGATGACTACTTATTTTTTTCAAATCATGTCCAGGGACAAATATTTTCCTAGCTAAAGTTTGATTTAAATATAATAATCTGAGTGTTTTTTTAAATGTGCTACTAACAAAATTTTATTTTTTAAAAAAGACAAGAATATATGTCATTTTTAGTAGTAAAGGCAGGGGTTAAAGGAGAATTACCAAATGTATTCATAAAGAGGCTACTTTCACCACAGCTCAGTAAACATGATTGCTGCTGTCTGGGCCAAAGATTCATTTTGTTTTCACTCTGGCTTTCTTTGCCAGTGGGGAAAGCTAAGTAATGCTGCTGTCTTTTCAGTCATCCTTATCAGAAATGATCACTCTGTGTGGCATGTGTTAATTATTCTGGCCCTCTCTTTTTCTCTCTATTAGATTAATAGTTGCCAATTATGTATCCTCTCTCCTGCACTGCTATTGTGTACACATTTTCTAATTCTCTTCATTACACCAGTGAGTATCTATAATTATAGTTATAAGTTATCCATCTATCTTTTCAAGGACAGTGAGAAATGTAATGCTGTGAGGGCTTGGCCTGGAGAGAGAGAGAGAAAAAGAGAGAGAAAGAGAGAGAGAGAGAGAGAGTGAGAGAGCATTTGGATACGTATAAAATGAGAGAATTAGAAAGTCAGAAATTAAATTTGTTACTTTTATTTAAAACAATAGACTAAAACAAATATACAAAGATAAATCTATAAAATCCCAGTCTTATTGCAAGCATCCAGTCTGATCACTGAGGGAACCCATTACCCTGCTGTTCAAATATCTTCCTCAACCTGCTGGTGGATGCAAGCTCCTCATACTACTTGAATGTTTGAAGAATTTATAGTCCATTATCAGTGCAAAAGCTGAAACCACAATGATATATGATAGCATACCAACTAAAATTCACAATAGGTTGCAGGATTTTATAATATTCAGTGGGAGTTTGGTGGGAAAAATAGAATAAGAACTTGGACAGCTTAAGGCAACAGAGCCAGCTATCATCAAGAGGAACAGTGGCAGAAAACAGAAGTGGTGTGTTCTGAAGATATCAACTTACTGCCTCCCAAAATGATTTTGTAATACCATAATGAGAAGAGTAATACAATAATGAGAAGGTAGAGTGAAGTTAAAGAAGCAGGGAAAGACATTCTTTAATACTTGCATTTCTTCCCTAAAAGATTAAAAAGGACTTTTGAAACAAACTGGACAAAGCTCATACGGTATTATCAGGTCAAAAACCTGTGTATTTGGAGGCATGAAACTGTTGTTCATAGCTCTTTAACTTTCTTTTTCTCTCATATATAAGAAAACTGCCAGTGAGCCAACAGACCCAGACTTATTGGGCTGTGCAGTAGATTGTCAGATCCTTTGCTAATGGGAGTTCTAACCTTTATAGTGCTGAGAAGGAAAGAGACAAATGATCCCTGCTCCTAGACTTTGCAACCTGTGTACTCCTTTTCATGTAAATCTTCATTTCTACCGAGTTTTACTTGGTCCCATTAGCCAGAAAATTGCCTATCCATTTTTGCATTCTTAAACTTTTCTATGTCTATTAGCCCTTAGCATGGTGTAAATGCTTGTTTATGTACATCTAATTCTAGTCCTGGACAATGAACTGCTAGAGATTAGAATCGTATTGAAATGATTTACAGCCTCAGTTTATACTGTAAGTCTTGGATCACAGTTGTTATTTGATCGGTGTCCTCTAAATGCAGTGATGTGCCTCGTAACATTTCTGTCAACAATAGGTCACATATACAATGGTGGTCTCATAAGGTTATTATGGATCTGAAACCTGTCTGTCACCTAGTGATGTAGACATTGTAACATCATAGTATAAAGCTTTACTCATGTGTTTATGGTGATGTTGTTATAAACAAATCTACTGCATTGCAAGTCCTATAAAACTCTAGCATAAAGTTGAAAATATGCAATTATGTATAGTACATACTTGATAATGATAATAAACAACATTACTGGTTGATTTATGTACTATGCTATAATTTGATCATTAGAGTGTATGCCTTCTACTTATTTAAAAAAAAAGTTAACTGTAAAACATCCTTAGGCAAGTCCTTCAGAAGGTTTTCCAGAAGTCATTGTTATCATAGGAGATGACAGCTCCATACATGTTATTGCCCCTAAAGACCTTCTACTGGGGCAAATGTTAAAGTGGAAGATGCTGATATCGATTATCTTGACCATGTGTAGGCCTAGGCCAGTGTGTGTGTTTCTATTTTGATTTTAAACAAAACTGTTCAAAAAACTAAATAATTTACAAGTAAAAATGCTCATATAATACATATATAAAGAAAAAGTCTTATTGTACAGCTGTTCAATGTGTTTCTGTTTTAAGCCAAATGTTACTATGAAAGAGTCAAAAGTTTAAAACATTAAAATGTATTAAAAAAGTTACAGTAAGCTAAATTTAATTATTGAAGAAAAATATATTTTTATATGGTTAGTGTAACACAAATGTACAGTGTTTATAAATTTAATAGTAATTCATAGAAATATCTTAGGCCTTCACATTTATTCACCACTTACTCACTGACTCACCTAGAGCAACCTCCAATCCTACAAGCTCCACTCATGGTAAACGTCCTACACAGGTGTACCATTTTTAAAAATCATTTTTACTGTATTTTTCTATGCTTATATAAGTTTAGTTACACAAATACTTATTGTGTGGTAATTGCCTACAGTATTCAACATAGTAATATGCTGTACAGGTTTGAGCCTAGGAGAAATAGGTTATACTATGTATCCTAGGTTTGTAGTAGGCTATACCATCTATGTTCATGTGAGTACAATCTATGATGTCCACAGGATGAGAAAATCACATAATAATGCATTTCTCAGAAGCTACATGCATTGTTATGTGACACATTAGATAGACCATATAAATGTATACTTTTATGAAATAAACCATTTAGAAATGATTTTAAAGTGTCTACTACCTACCACATACTGTGTTAGGAGCTGCAGTTATAAGCACCATTTAGAATAATTTCTCCAATTGGTTATAAGTCTGGCAGCAAAGAAGAATTTTTAAAAAGACATCTAATACATATATATATATGCACACACATGATAAGTGGATTAATCCTATGAGAGCATTATATGTGTGTATCTGCGCACTGATGTGAACACGTGTGTGTATAAATTTACTTCTTAATGTTTGAAATCTTGTTTTGTAATTAAATCATTTTTTGAGGATTCAGGCTATGTTTGTTAATGTGTAACATCCTTTCTGAACAGGTGTGCAGTAAAACATTAGCAAGTTTTCAAAAATTAAATTATTAAAAATAACATTTAATATATATTATTAAATATGTTAAATATTTAAAGATAAACAATTTTGAAAAATTAATTTCCTATTTGTGCATGATGCCTGAGACTAGTTAAGGCAAACTTTACTATATGTGTGTAACAATTGCTGACATTTTTTGCATATATAATGTGTGTTTTTTGTTGAACAAAATAATATATATCCTCCCATCTTTCTCTATTGGTTTCCTACCTCTGCACTACCCATGACTGCAGAGTCTGGAGTTTAAAACAACAAACACTATCTCACATTTATGGTGGTTCAGGTACTTGTGTACCACTTAGCTGAATCCTCTTCTTGAGATCTCACAAGACTTTAATTTAGGTGTCAGAAAGGCTGCATTCTCATCAGAAGGCTAAAGTAGAGAAGATTCTTAAGTAGAGAAAAAAATGCACACTCAGTTTGTTGGCAGAATTTATCTCCATGCAGTTTTAGACTGGGGATCCTAGCTTTATGTTAGCTATTGGTTGGAGGCTGAATTTCTCTTCTAGAGGCCACTTGTGAGCTTCCTACTATGCCTGTTTGCCTCTTAACACCCTGTTAGGAAGTATCTTGAGAGAGTCTACTAGCAAGATTGTGCCTTTACACAGTATCATGTTACCACCAGAGTGAAATCCCATCACCTTTGCCATATTCTATTCGTTAGAACCATTCCCAGTCCCTGCTCACACTCAGAGGGCATTAACACCAGGAGGTGAAGATCATAAAGGATCATTAGAGAGCCTTTTGCTCACACATTCCATAAAGCAGATCCTTATTTTCTGATCAGGATACTGAGGACACCAAATGTGATACAACCTGCCTGACGTTCCACCATTGGTAAGTGGCAAAGTCAGGTTTCTAACCCAAGCTATTTGGTTCTACAGCACATTCTTTTAAACTCTGTGTATGCTGTATCACTTTATTATCAAATTTCGGAAGGAATTGCTTTACATGATCCAGTGTCCATTTTTACTCTTAGAAGTGGATAGATGGCCCGGCACAGTGGCTCACGCCTGTAATCCCAGCACTTTGGGAGGCTGAGGCGGGTGGATCATCTGAGGTCAGGAATTCAAGACCAGCCTGACCAACATGGTGTAACCCCATCTCTACTAAAAATACAAAAAATTAGCCAGGCGTAGTGGCACCTGTAGTCCCAGCTACTCGGGAGGCTGAGGCAGGAGAATCTCTTGAACCCAGGAGGTGGAGGTTGCAGTGAGCTGAGATTGTGCCACTGCACTCCAGCCTGGGCGACAGAGTGAGACTCTGTCAAAAAAAAAAAAAAAAAAAAGGTGGATAGACACAAAACAAGTTATAGGCTAGAATGGAACCCATAGTTTTAGGTTTAAGAAAATCTGAGGGGAATGTTTGCCTTGCAATATTTACTTTCAAGTTTGGCCATGGGATGCATTCTGTTAATATTTATCAAGTGAAAGAGTCTACCACACTGTGTCTAACACAAAAACATTAATATTACTGGCTAGAATCACAAAGAGTCTTGAAGTATGCTATATTTGGATCTTGGAAGATTTCAGTTTCTCTGCATGAAGTCAAACTTTAAATTTACAATTCTCAAGAGCATTAGGAGCTGACATGCTAAACTTACATGAAGTATTCCCTCCGCAGTGGAAGTCAATCAGATTTGGAAGAGGAAGCTAATCCAGTTATATCCTCCTAATGAAACTCACCACTGTAAACAAAAATTATCACTTCAATTGAAGATTACTTGCTAGCTATTTGAGAGTAAGTCAGTTGTTCACCTTTCCATAAATTTAGGAGAAGGCACTCTGTATGGGTTAGCAATATATCTTCCAAGAGGAAAAGAACACAGGTAGCAAAAAGACAAATATGTGAATATTTGGAATAAAGTTGACATTAGTTGATCATGAATGGATTAATAATAACAATAAAATAACAAAGGTGGATATTAAACATGTATGTCTTTCCTGATTGCCTAGTGTAATGTTTAAAAACAAAAAATCAGGACCAGGACGTGGGAAATCTGAATTCTAATTCTAACTATGGCATTTACTCTTAATTGATTTAAGGAAAATGGCTTAAGTTCTCTCAGACTCATATTTTCTTATCCATAACAATGATATGATAGTACATTTTAATACCCACTTTACCAGGGTTTTTTGTGGGAGTACAATATGTAATAAATATAAAACATTTTGTGTGTAGTATTTACAAATGATGATTGATAGCAGATGATGCATGTTTTTATACAAGTTCTTTTATCATTCATATATCAAATGCCAATAATTTAGAGGATAAACTTACATTTTAAAAATTGACCCTAATTTATATATTTAATATAATCTAGTTTTTCAGCTATATACAGAATATTGAAGATGACTATATTAGTTTATATTGCAGTCTATTTTGAAAAAAAAATTGGGGTCAAATTGCTGAAGGCATCACAAGTCATTTCTAAAATGGGCCTTTTCCTCATTTAACTTAATGGGAAAGATTATGACTTTTACTTTCCAGGTGTGATTTGATGCCTTCAGACATCTTCTCTCTGTTCACATTCCAATTAAATTAAATTAAATTGTTCCTATCGATGCAATTAACTCATTTACTTTAGAGCAAGAAACTCATTATTACGTAGGCGGGCTAAAAATCCAGGTGTTTTTCTCTTTTGCCTGATTTCTTTCTACTTTCCAAATGTTCATCCCAGAGAGCATGAAAAGAAAAGTTTGTTCTGCAAAGCTATCAATTGCCCCTTGCAGAGTGTGAAGCAGAGCATGAAAATGAAATGGTTAAAAATGTTAGACTCTACCTTTCCTTACAAATGAAAGGAAAGATAAAAAGATTACAAAATGAGTAAGGAAAAGGAAAATAGAGGGACTGGTTGAGGCAAGCCCTTATTAAGATAGGGACTTGGATAAACACTTAAATGGAGGATTTAAATGCTCTAGGTCATATAACAAATTAATAATAAACAGAAGGAGGCTTCAGGAGCTCTAAACTCTTGTGCTTGGTCTTGGAAGGAGACAGTATTTTCTTCTCAGTATTCTATATGGCCATCACTCACACTATCATGCAAAGCAAATCTAGAATTTTTACTTTATTTTATTTTATTTTATTTTAAGATGGAATCTTGCTCTGTTTCCCAGGCTGGAGTGCAGTGGCGTGATCTTGGCTCAGTGCAACTTCTGCCTCCCGGGTTCAAGCAATTCTCTGCCTCAACCTCCCAAGTAGCTGGGACTACAGGCATCCGCCGCCATGCCTGGCTAATTTTTGTATTTTTAGTAGAGATGGGGTTTCTACCATCTTGGCCAGACTGGTCTTGAACTCTTGACCTCGTGATCCACCCACCTGGGCTTCCCAAAGTATTGGGATTACAGGAGTGAGCCACCATGCCCGGCCTAGAATTTTTTTAGTAAAGAGTGAGGGAGAACTATCACTTCTTATTTTCACCTCCAAGGAGTGCACATGGATCTTTCTATCACGTTTTTGTTTATGGCAACTCGAGGGACTCCATCGCATAGGCATAGACAAGCTTTAGTGGACAGTTGCTATTGAGAATGCTGAACTTTTGTTTGGCTAAAAGCCTGAATTTCTGCAGCTCTCATCAGTTGAGTTTAGAAGAAAGAATTTGACTTACTGTATTGTTTAGCCTATTTGTTTTTCCAGCTATATTTGGAAGCAAGTGTCGTGGGTTAAAATAAGTAAAAGGTAAGAGATCAAAATATCTGGCTTTGAATCTCAGGTAAATGAGTAACATGATTTATTTATTTTGGGTAAGTTAATATCTCTCTCTCTTTTTCAGTACCCTCTGTACCTAAATTGCAGGAATTTTTGTAGCCCTTTATTCGTGGTAAAAACACATTTAACAGTGAGGGGCTACTAATGTTATACTAAAAGGGCTATGATTTCTGATCAAGACGGCTTGCTTTAGGTTTTCATGTTTTGAACTATTCTGCTGTTCCAAAAAATATATAATCTAATGTCTGTATTCAAAGAAAAGCCTGTTTTCATTTTATAAGGCAAAACATACATCTTTGGAGACCACACATTTTTAAAAACAAAACAAAAAGTAAAGTGGGTAAGTGGGGCTGAAACTTCACTTAACAAGCACTGAAAGCCTGCAAAAGTGGCTGGAGCCACATATCTTACAGAATGAGGAGGAAAAGAATTACTCCAAGAGAGTCAGGGAGTTGGAGGCTGAATTACTGCTGGAAACCTGGGACTGGAGTATGACTCTCCCAAACTCTATGAAGCAAAGAAAAATCAATCTCCTACCACTACTTCTATGACTCCAGTTTCTATGGAGCCAAAAACTTGGGAGATGAGAAGACATGAATACAACCTCCCTTGAGACCAGAAACCGAACCAGCTATCTTACTTTCTTTCCCCAGTGATGGCCTCTCTTTTATTTTCAATATTACCTCTATCCATGTTCTTCCAAACGGATATTGTTTACTCTCTTAATTTTTAGTATCTACTAAGTTTTGATAATTTCAAAATTATATCTCCAAATTCCAATTGTTTTCTGAAATCCATACTAGTTTTCCAAGGAGCTAGTGAGTTAGTTATATCTAGAGACACTATAGCCACTCCAAATTCAGTGTCTGCAAAATTGAACTGGAGAATAGATAATAATATAATTTTGACTCTTGGGTTCAAAGACATCCTACATGGCAAATTAACAAGCACAATGCAGATTATCAACAAGCACCCACTGAAGACTCATCAAGATGCCTTGGAGTTCTATTTCATACAAACTGACACATTTAGAGCTGCAATCTAAACTTGATATTATTTTTTAATTTTTAATTTTTTTTTTTTTTTTGCCAGAGTAGGATACTTTGTAACTAGCAATGAAGGTGAGTGAAAGTCTGTATGCACAGATGCAAATAATATTTACATTGCTATTAGGTCAAACATCAGGAGACAGTTTTAGGACAAACAACCTATTTGGATGGGCTTATTAGGATTTGGTACTATGCAACTGGAAAACATAATATCCATAAAGAAAGTTAATTATTTAAAAGAATTTTTCCGCTTCTCTTTCCATGGAATGTTCCACAATGAGTTCTGCTTGACTATGATTGACATCTGTCAAGTAACATACTTCTAGATTTGAGGATTTTGCTGCCGTTGAGAAGGCCTTTGATTGAGGAAACGCAACCTTGACCTTAATTAGTTCTAATTCTGTGGCCATAAATTCACAGAAGTTATTTTCTCATGGTTGTTTTATTTTATTCTGTATTTGTTTACAGCTATTTTTTCTTCCTCTTTCCCAACCTTGTATATTTTTTAGCTCACCTCAGCCCCTTTATTTCCTGCTACTTCACAGCAGAATTGTGAGTCCAATATACTTCTTTCTTTATGAATTACCCAGCCTCAGATATTTTGTTATAGCAGCACAAAATGTACCAAGACAGATGATTTATCAGTTTCTTTAAAAAATTAAAAATACAGGCCAAAAACAGTAGCTCACTCCTGCAATCCCAGCACTTTGGGAGGCCAAGGCAAGTGGATCACTTGCGCCTAGGAGTTTGAGACTAGCCTGGGCAACATAGCAAAATTCTGTCTCTACAAAAAAAGTAAAAATTAGCTGGGTGTAGTGGCTCACGCCTGTGGTCCTGGCTACTTGGGAGACTGAGTCCAAGGGGGTAGAAGCTGCAGTGAGCTGTGATTGTGCCACTGCACTCCAGCCTGGACAAGAGAGTAAGTCCCTGTCTTTAAATAAATAAAAATAAATAAATTAAATAAATAAATAAACGTATCCTCACCATATGACTCAGCAATCTCTTGTCTAGGTATCTACTCAAGACAATTGCAAACATTTATTGAAACAAAGACCTGTATGCACATGATCAAAGCAGCATCATAAAAGTCAAACACTGGAGGCAATCCAAATGTCCATGGTCATGATTATGCTGTATTATTTTTCTGCAATGGTAAGTTGACTTCTTATATCCTGACATCATAGTTCAAGGTCTTTTTTATTTTTATTTATTTATTTATTTATTTATTTATTTATTTATTTATTTATTTTGAGATGGAGTCTGTCTGTCATCTAGGCTGGAGTTCAGTGGTGTCATCTTGGCTTACTGCAACCTCCACCTCCTGGGTTCAAGCGAGTCTCCCGCCTCAACCTCCTGAGTATCTGGGATTATAGGAGTGCACCACCATGCCCAGATAATTTTTGTATTTTTAGTAGAGATGGGGTTTCATCACGTTGGCCAGGTTGATCTTGAACTCCAAGTGATCCGCCCACCTCGGCCTCCCAAAGTGTTGGGATTACAGGCGTGAGGCACTGCGCCCAGCCTCGAAGTCATTTTTGAAACATAATATTACCTTTCCTACAGAAGAGAACCTACACTGAATATCATTGGCAGCTCATTTCAAGAAGAGTAATTGTAGCTCGGCACAGTAGCTCACACCTGTAATCCCAACACTTTGAGAGGATGAGCCTGGTGGATTGCTTGACGTCACAAGTTTGAGATCAGCCTGTGCAGCATGGAGAAAAAACATCTCTACAAAAAATACTAGAATTAGCTGTGGTGTGTGCCTGTAGTCCTAGATATTTAAAAGGATGATGTGAGACGATCACTTGAGCCTGGGTGGCGAAGGTTGCAGTGAGTCCAGACCTTGTCACTGCACTCCAGCTTGGGCAAAAGAGCCGGACCTTGGCTCAAACAAACAAAAAAATAAAAAGAGTAATTGTATAAATGACACCGTTAGAAGCAACAGTAAAAATTAATTTCGGCTGACAGAAAGCATGGCTTTCTCCACATGCAGAGACTCTTAATCTGGGGGGATTACATTTTTAAAAAATTTAATTGTATTTTTTAAGTTCTGGGGTACATGTGCAGGATGTGTAGGTTTGTTACCTAGGTAATCGTGTGCCATGGTGGTTTGCTGCACCTGTCAACCACTCACCTAGGTTTTAAGCCCACCATGCATTAACTCTTTTCCCTAATGCTATCTGTCCCACCCACCCTCCTCTGACAGGAGGTTCGCTTTGATGAGTCTCTTTTGCTGTTCAGAAGCTCTTTAGTCTAATTAGATCACAATTGCCAATTTTGGCTTCTGTTGCAATTGCTTTTGGCAATTTCATCAGAAAATCTTTGCCCATGCCTATGTCCTAAATGGTGTTGCCTAGATTTTCTTCTAGGGTTTTGATAGTTTTGGGTTTTACATTTAAGTCTTTAATCCATCTCAAGTTAATTTTTGTATAAGGTGTAAGGAAGGGGTCCAATTTCAATTTTCTACATATGGCTAGCCAGTTCTCCCAGCATCCTTTGTTAAATAGGGAATCTTTCCCCATTGCTTGTTTTTTTTAGGGTTGTTGAAGCTCAGATGGTTGTAGATGTGCAGTCTTATTTCTGATGTCTCTATTGTGTTCCATTGGTCTATGTGCCTGTTTTTTGTACCAGCACTTTGCTGTTTTGGTTAATGTAGCCTTGTAGTATAGTTTGAAATCAGGTAGTAAGATGCCTCCAGCTTTGTTCTTTTTGCTTAGGATTGCTCTGGCTATACAAGCTCTTTTATGGTTCCATATGGATTTTAAAATAGTTTTTTTCTAATTCTGTGAAGAATTTCAATTGTAGTTTAATGTGAATAGCATTGAATCTATAAATTGCTTTGCACAGTATAGCCCTTTTCATGATATTGATTCTTACTCTCCATGAGTGTGGAATGTTTTTTCCATCTGTTTGTGTCCTCTCTGATTTCCTTGAGCAGTGGTTTGTAGTTCTCCTTGAAGAGGGCTTTTAATTCCCTTGTTAGCTGTATTCCTAGGTATTTTATTCTCTTTTTGGCAATTGCGAATGGGATTTCATTCATGATTTGGCTCTCTGCTTATCTGTTGTTGGTGTAAAGAATGCTTGTAATTTCTGCACATTTATTTTGTATCCTGAGACTTTGCTGAAGTTAATTATCAGCTTAAGACACTTTTTAGGTTGAGTTGATGGGGTTTTCTATATATAGGATTATGTTATCTGCAAACAAAGACAATTTGACTTCCTCTCTTCATATTTGAATATCCTTTATTTCTTTCTCTTGCCTGATTGCCCTGGCCAGAACTTCCAATACTATGTTGAATAAGAGTGGTAAGAGAGGGCATCCTTATTTTGTGCCAATTTTCAAGGGGAATGCTTCCAGCTTTTGCCCATTCAGTATAATATTGGCTGTGGGTTTGTCATAAATGGATCTTATTATTTTGACATAGGTTCCATCAATACCTAGTTGTATCGAGTGTTTTTAATATGAAGGGATGTTGAATTTTATCGAAGGCCTTTTCTGTGTCTATTGAGAAAATCACATGGCTTTTGTCTTTAGTTCTGTTTATGTGATATGTTATGTTTGTTGATTTGGATATATTGAACCAGCCTTGCAACCCAGGATGAAGCTGACTTGATAGTGGTGGATAAGATTTTCGATGTACTGCTGGATTCAGTTTGCCAGTAATTTATTGAGGATTTTTGCCTTGATGTTCATCACGGCCTGAAGTTTTCTTTTTGTTGTTGCTTGTGTATCTCTACTAGCTTTTGGTATCAGGATGATGCTGGCCTCATAAAACGAGTTAAAGAGGAGATTCTCCTTTTCAATTATTTGGAATAGTTACAGAAGAAATGTTACCAGCTCCTCTTTTTACCTCTGGTAAAATTCAGTGTAAATCCCTCTGGTCCTGGGCTGTTTTTGCTTGGTAGGCTATTTGTTACTGCTCCAATTTCAGAACTTGTTACTGGTCTGTTAAAGAATCCAGCTTTTTCTGGTTCCATCTTGGGAGGGTGTATTCATCCAGGAATGTATCCATTTCTTCTAGATTCTTCAGTTTATTTGCATAGAGTTGTTTACTGTATCTTTGATGGTTATTTATATTTCTGTGGGGTCAGTGGTGGTATCCCTCTTATCTTTTCTGATTGTGTTTATTTGAATCTTCTCTCTTTTCTTCTTAATTAGTCTAGCTAGCATTCTATTTTATTGATTTTTTTTTTCCTCAGAAAACCAGCTCTTGGATTTGTTGATTTTTTAAAGGGTTTTTTGTGTCTCTATCTCCTTCAATGCCACTCTGAGCTTGGTTATTTGTTGTCTTCTGCTAGCTCTGGGGTTTGTTTGCTCCCGGTTTTCTGGTTCTTCTACTTGCGATATAAGGGTGATGATTTGAGATCTTTTTAGATTTTCAATGTTGGCATTTAGTGCTATAAATTTTCCTCTTAACACTGCTTTAGCTGAGTCCCAGAGATTCTGATACGTTGTCTCTTTGTTCTCATTGGTTTCAAAGAACTTCTTGATTTCTGCCTGAATTTCATTATTTACCCAAACATCATTCAGGAGCAAGTTGTTCAATTTTCATGAAATTGTGTGGTTTTAGTGAGTTTCTTAATCTTGAGTTCTAATTTGATTGTGCTGTAGGTCTGAGAAACTCTTTGTTATGATTTCGTTCTTTTGCATTTGCCGAGGAGTGTTTTACTTTCAATTATGTGAGTAAGTTCCATGTGGCACTGAGAAAATTAGTATATTCTTTTCTTTTGTACTGGAGATTTCTGTAGATATCATTCAGTTCCACTTGGTCCAGAGCTGAGTTCAAGTCCTGAATATCTTTGTTAATTTTCTGTCTCAATGATCTGTCTAACATTAACAGTGGGGTATTAAAGTCTCTCACTATTATTGTGTGGGGGTCTAAGTCTCTTTGTAGGTCTTTAAGAACTTGTTTTATGAATCTGAGTGCTGCTATATTGGGTGCATATATATTTATGATTGTTAGCTATTCTCATTGAATTGAACACTTTACCATTATGTAACAACCTTCTTTGTCTTTTTTGACCTTTGTTGATTTAAAGTCTATTTTGTCAGAAACTATGATTGCAACACTGCTTTATTCTGCTTTCCATTTACTTGGCAAATTCCCCTCCATCCGTTTATTTTGAGCCTATGAGTGTCTTTGAATGTGAAATGTATCTCTTGAAAAAAGCACACTGATGAATCTTGTCTTTTTAATCAGCTTGCCATTCTGTATCTTTTAATTGGAGCATTTTGCCCATTTACATTTAAGGTTAATGTTGTTATGTGTGAATTTGATCCTGTCATCATAGTGCTAGCTGGTTAATTTTGCAGACTTGTTAATGTAGTTACTTCATAGTGTCATTGGTCTGTGTACTTTAGTGTGTTTTTGTAGTGGCTGGTAATGATTTTTCTTTTCCGTGTTTACTGCTTCCTTCAGGAGTTCCTCCAAGGCATGCCTGGTGGCAACAAAATCCCTCAGCATTTGCTTGTTCAAAGAATTTTATTTCTCCTTCACTTATGAAGCTTAGTTTGGCTGGATATGACATTCTGGCAGTCTTATTTATTAGCACGTCACACCATCTCATTGTCATTAACAATTGTTTAATGGTCAAAACAGAAGCAGATTCACCAGGGGCAACACCACAACATTAAACACACTGGGAAGAAATGAGAATCAATATCACTGGACACGACAGTAGATATTATATAATCTGGTGCTAAAGACATTTCAATAATTAAAATACTATAAATGCTTTGTTGGTTTTAACTGTTATCTATAATATACTTGTGTTGCCATAAGAGTTGTTCACAAATGACATCTAAACACATTGAGGGTGCTGCATTCTGATACGCTTGATGCCCATACCATAAAATTGTTAGGTATACTTATTGTCATATCTATCTAGAAACAAACATAGAATACGGAATGTAAATAATAAAGTTATTTTAGTATTAAAATATTAAAAATAACTAGATGACAGTGGAATGTGGGAAGATGGAAAAACGATGGAGATAAACGTAGCTATTTTTCTCGTTTCAAAAAAAGGGCAAAAGCAAGAAGTACTGCCTGTATTTGATGGAACAAATGAGATCTCAATATATTATTTAAAGTTATAGAAGGTATCATACATTAACTAAAATAATAATGTAACTATCAAACATCTGACAAAATTTAGAGGCAGAAAAGTTTGCATAAATAAGCAACATTCTCATTTTTCATAAATACAAAGACTGTAGGATATGAATTAAAAATAGAAGTATGTATTTTCCATAAATGTGTTTATATTCAGTTAAAAATATTAAAATTAGGGAAAATCTTAAGGTAAATAGGATTATGGTTTCACACTACTGCTTTCTCCATAAGCCCTTCATACTATTTGATTAATTAGCAAATATATATATATATACTATCTTGATAAAAACATAAGTATAAATAATGCTATGATTATGTTATAAAGTAATAGTAATCAAACCCAATATGGTGCTGGGATAAAACCAGAGACATAGACCAATAGATCAAAATGGAAAGCCAAGAAATAAACCCATGCATATACAATCAACTAATTTTTAGCAAGGGTACACCAAGAAGACAGCAAAGGAGAAAGTATAGTCTATTTATTTTTATTCATTTATTTTTATTGTATATATTTGTTTTGAGATAGAGTCTTGCTCTGTCGCCCATGCTGGAGTGTAGTGGCACGATCTCGGCTCACTGCAAACTCCACCTTCTGGGTTCAAGTGATTCTCCTGCCTCAGCTTCCAGAGTAGCTGGGATTACAGGTGCCCAACACCTCACCTCGCTGATGTTTGTATTTTTAGTAGAGACACGGTCTCGCCATGTTGGCCAGGCTGCTCTCAAACTCCTGACCTCAAGTGATCCACCCGCCTTGGCCTCGCAAAGTGCTGGGATTACAGGCATGAGCCACCACGCTCAGCCAGGATAGTTTCTTCAATATATAGTGTTGGGAAAATTGCATACACACATGTGTAAGAACAAAACTGAATCTTTATCTTACAATATGCACAAAACCCCTCAAAATTAATCAAACACCTAAAAGGAAGAACGGAAACTATAAATCTCCTTTAAAAATAGGCAAAAAGTTTTTTAACAGATGTTGGCAATAATTTTTTGGATATCATACCTAAATCTCAGGCAAAAAAAGTAAAAGTAAAGAAGTGGACTGCATTAAACTAGTGAGCTTTTGCACAGCAAGGAAACAATTTAAAAAACACAGCCTATGAATTGGAAGAAAATATTTGTGAACCATATATGTGATAAAAGTTTAATATTCAATATTTATAAGAAGTCCACACAACTCGAAAGCAAAAAAAATAAAAAGCCCAACTGAAAAAATGGGGAAAGGAACTGAATAGACATTTTTCCAAAGAAGACAAAATTGCCAACCGGTAAACGAAAAGGTGCTCGACATCACTAAATGGCAGGGATATGCAAATTAAAACCACAATGAGATACCACTTTAAACCCACTAGGATAGCTGGTATCGAAGACAAAAGATGGCAAATATTGACCAGAGAATAGAGAAGAAGGAACACTTGGTGGGAATGTAAACTTGTACAACTCTTATGGAAAACAGCGTGAAGGTTCCTCGGAAAATTAAAAATAGAACTACCGTATGAGCCAACAATCGTTTTTCTGGATATATGCCCAGAGGAAATGAAATCACCCCCTTGCAGAGATGTGTGCACTCTCATGTTCATTGCAGCATTATTCGCAAAAGCCAAGATATTAAAACAACCCGAGTGACAATTAATGGACTAATAAATAAATTGTGTTCTATATACACAATGAAATATCATTCAGCCTTAAAAAAGGAGACACTGTAATTTGTGACCACATGGATGAACCTGCGGGATACACATATCATGAATATCACAAATTATATTCATTTAATTCTATAGAAAATCAGGGATGAATCAAGGAAACGTCAAAGTTTGTTTTTAACAAAGTATCTTTATATCTCATCTGTCTTTAAGTGAATGAAATAAGCCAGACACAGAAAGAAAAATACTACACGATCTCAATTACAGTAGAATCTGGAAAAAGTCAAATACATAGAACCAGAGAGAATAAGGTGGTGGCCAGGGGCTTGTGTGTGGGAGAATGGAGAGATCTTGGTCAAAGGGTACAAAGTTGCTATTATGTGGCTGAATAATTCAGAGGATCTAATGTGTGGCAAGTGGACTGTAATTCCTAATATTGTATTGTATACTGGAAATTTGCCAAGAGACTAGATTTTAGATTCTCTTAACATACACACACACACACAAACACACACACAGACACACACACACACACACACACACACACACACACGTTCTCTTACCAATATGTGAAGTGACTTATATGTTAATATGATTGACTGTAGTAATTTCAGTGTTTGTGTGTGTGTGTGTATATATATATATATTCAGAACATCATATTGTATACCTTAAATATAGACAATAATTAATAGATACATATTCACATAAATAAAGGCTACAATGAACATCTATATATTCTTCCTGAGTGGAATCTTGCTATTTCCCCTACTGGCACTGTACAGATGGGCACAAACTTTTGAGCTGACTGCTTTTCTCCTCCACAAGATTTAGCATAGACCTTAATATAAAAAAATTTAAAACGATTGCCAGCCACCTAGTAGTGATTATTTTATTTACTCTTTTTGTATCTCTGTTGAATAATAACTAAAATGTATATGAAAGAAGTTTAATACAAAGGTAGCATTGGGGTCTAAAACACGTGAAGATGCTTTTTAATTTTTGTGTCTCATCTATTTTTAAGCGCATCTCTGAATAAAAATTTTGATCCTGTTGATATGAGGCTTTCCCTTAAGCATTATTGCTCTAATTCTTTTATGGAACTCACTGATGTACTTAATGATCTCTGTTCCTGCAGCACATTTCGCAAGAGGTTCATGACTATTTTGTTTATTCTAATTAAAGAAGGGACGTGTAGGAAAATCATGACCCACACCGTGGGGGTCATAGAGTTGGCATCCTCTCCACAATCGGAGTAATCTTGACCACACACTGCTTGTTTATATTCTTTAGCTCTCTAGTTCATTTGGTTCCCAATGTCTATAATTATTTTTGTAAGTATTTTTTAAAAGGCACTCTTCAGTATCACAAATTATATTCATTTAATTCTATAGCAAATCAGGGATGAATCAAGAAAACATCAAATTTTGTTTTTAACAAAGTATTTAAAATAACTATGATTTGATTCAGTGTTTTCATCTAGGAAAACTGCCATGTACAAATACTGGTGACAGTTCATGCTTATTGATAAATGTTCCACCCAATTATGGCTTCAAAAAAATAAATCATAAGGCCTTTTTCAATTTTTTCTGCACTAGAATAGGCTTATTTGTGTGTAAAACAAATTTTAAAATAGGGGCTGGTAAATGCCAGGTAAATTATCCTGTAAGAACTTGATTATAGACTCTTTTTTCCATGAAGATATTTTAGTAACCTTGATATTATAACAGTGTCTATTATTGTAATATTAGCAAAGAAATTAAAAACAGTAATCTGCAATGAATGCAGGCTAGGTTTCATTTTTCAAGGTTGATATTTACCTATAGACACAAGGATTTGTATTTATGTCCAGGAATGCATCTGACTCTTCATTTGTGTACAAGGACACAAAGTGGCACTATAAAAACTTAACGTATTTGCAGGGATCTTGATTTTGAAATGCATGCTGTAAATCATAAAGAATGTGATCAGGACCTGAAGTGCTGTGACAGTGGAGAGAAAGGAAAGTAGCCGTTATTCATAAAATTGCTTTAGCATACAAATGCCTTTTAAGGCATTGGATGAATCTCATTCTATGTATTCCATGTACACCTGAAACTGCACCCCAAGACAATAGCAGTTGTGAATAAATATTGGTCAATGGCATGATTAAATTTATGTATAGGAAACAATGCATTTGCATATGAAACTAATAATTTGTCTAATACTAAAATAATTATCTCATATCTTCTACCTTCATTTTCTGAAGCAATAATAGGAAACGCAGAACAAGCAGTTTCCTATTTTGGACTTAGGTTTCACAGCTTGGAATTCTGAGAAATTAAGAGGTCTCTATGTCTGTCCCAGTTTCTTTTTGAGAAGAGTGCTAGGTTAGAAGTCAATTAATTCAGGCTCTGTCATGTGTACACCCTTAAACCAATCACTGTGGCTGAAAAGGCTGACTGCATAACATAACGTCTCGCACTTACATTTCCCAATAGAGTGAGGGTTCTGGAAGAAGGAAGAGCTTCCCAAGGATAATGGTATTAGCCCAGACATGACCCCGGGAAAATTAGCGTGAACTAGGCATCTGCATCAATTTCTTTCTATTGGATAGATTAAAAGTTTTTATGTTTTAATCATGATGAGAAAGAACTGATATTTTTCCCATCTTTTACCCATCATTTGTGTAGAGAAAGCCAGAACGATATTGATGTCTGAAGGGATCACACAGACAAGAATATATCCTTCATCTCTAGGATTAAGGCAAATTTTAGCTGGCTTTCCTATTTCTATTCTCACTCCCATTTTGCATAGCTATATCTAAAATACAGTCAATATTCCATATTTTTTTTCTTCAGACTAAATTGAGTGATTCTTAGGGAGTTAGAAGAAGTGCCTCTTGTCCTGACCCCAGAGCTATATCAGAATATCTGGGTCAGGCTAAAAGCATTTGCAATGGGTCAGGCTAAAAACACTTGGAATGTCAAAACCTGCTCCAGTCCATTTTGGTAGTTTTCCTTCTTATATACTATTGAAGGCTGTGCTTCTCTCCAAGATTAGCTCTTACATTCTCCTTTTCAAAAAGTCTTCTGGGCCATGAGTATGTGTCCCTCTTATGGGATCCATATCATTCATCATGCTCTACATAGCAGCATGCTTTGTATACTAGTGTGAACCCAAAAGTATCTGAGACAGCTCTGAATCAATTTAGAACATTTATTTTGCTAACGTTAATGACACTCCAGTGACACAGCCTCAGGAAGTACTGATAACCTGTGCCTAAGGTGGTTGGGGCATAGCTTGCATTTATACATTTTGGGGAGGACATGAGACATAATGATATGTGTAAGATGTATATTGGTTTGGTCTAGAAAACTGGGACAACTCGAAGTAGGGGCTTCCAAGTCATAGGTAGATAAGACACAAAAAGGTTGTATTCTTTTGAAGTCCTTGATTAGCCTTTCACTGAATACACAATTTACATGTGAGAGGGCAGTCTAGGAATAGTCACTTAAGCCTTATTCTGGCTTAGGGAATCTGCATTTTTACAGATATAATCTGGCAGAGGAAGCAATCAGGTATGCATTTGTCTCAGGTGAGCAGAGGGATGACTGAGTCCTCTCTGCCCTTTGTCCTGCACCTGTGAAGATACGCTATCAATTTACATTGCCAGGGTGAAATTCATCAGAACTGTTTTAGGGTAAGAATCTTGAGGACCACAAAGTATTTCCTTGTGGGCAAATGATGAGGGAAGTATGTACCTTATTTATTTATTTATTTATTTATTTATTTATTTATTTATTTATTTATTTATTTTATCTTTGTAGCTATCTTATTTAAGAATAAAATGGGAGGCAGGTTTGCTGAAGCACTTCCCAGCTGGAATTTTCCCTTTGGCTTAGTGGTTTTGGGGTCTCAAAATGTATTTTCCTTTCACTCTAGATTGGAAACTCCTGAGAAGCAATGTCTATGTCTCCTCAGGCCTGATGTAGAGTAATCACTTAATAAACTATCCAAAGTCCAGCAATCCGTTTCTATAATGAAACTTTCCTGATTACTCCTGCCTCCTATTGTAATGCATGTTACAACCACAGAGTGAATGTTCTCCAATCTTTTGACATTAGCATTTTGGCAGGATTAGACTTCAGTTCCTTCAGAGTGACATCTAGCTATATTGGTTTTAATCAGTTTCAAATTAATTGATTCTAGTAAGTACGACACTGGTAAAAGCCAATATATGTGTGTAAGAGTTAAATTTGTTACTTCCCAGCCAGGTGCGGTGACTCATTCATGTAATCCCTGCATTTTTGGAGGCTGAGGCGGGCAGATCACAATGTCAGGAGTTCGAGACTAGCCTGGACAATATGGTGAAACCCCTCTCTACTAAAAATACGAAAATTAGCCAGGCGTAGTGGTGCACGCCTGTAATCCCAGCTACTCGGGAGGCTGAGACAGGAGAGTCACTTGAACCTGGGAGGCGGAGTTTGCAGTGAGCTGAGATTGTGCCACTGCACTCCAGCCTGGGTGACAGAATGAGACTCCATCTCAAAAAAAAAAATTGTTAGTTAGAAAAATGGAAATATCATTTATATATTACTGGAAAGGCATCACATAGGATTATGTGAAATAAAACTCTCTCTCAAAAACATTTGCATCCATGATAAGATGCAACATTTATATATAATATTTAGGCCCCTTTGCCATCTGAACACCAGACTTTTTCAAATACACCTGCTGTGTGTAACGTATACTGAAGTTCTATCGGCCTAAACATGCTAGGAATATTCCATTTCTGTACCTTTGCTTCCGCTTTCCTTGGTCCCAGTGACTCTCTAAAAGCTATTTATTCTCTTCTTAATTTTTTTTAAATTTTACTTTAAGTTCTGTGGTACATGAGCAAAACATGCATGTTTGTTACATAGGTATAAATGCATGTGGGGCTATTTATTCTTAAAGCCCTTTCTTCAACAGAGTGAAACGTTATTTAACCAATATAGTCCATAGATATCTCTTTTTCTAGTGACATCACATAAACGGTATTGTGAGAACTACCCATCCTACATTTAGCCAGTTATTCTCCTATGAATTTTTTTTAATAAAAACTGTCTGATAATGTTATTTTTGTATGGATATTATTTCCTCCTTAATCGTACATGACCATAAAGATGTCCTTAAGCCATGACTGCACCACTGTACTCTTACTTGTTTGGGAAAAAAAAAAATCTGCATCTCCAAGTGACTAACATGCTTATGTACAAAACAGCCACTCAATAAATGATTGTTGAGTCATCAGAAAATGCATGTGATTGTACCTTGAACAATAGAAACCTACAGAAATATCTCACATCATGAGCCCTCTACCATCATGTTCAAAAGGCTTTTCATTTTTCTGCATGAATTGGAGTGCATATTCTCTTTATATAATGAATATCTTCATCTTCATTATATTGTGTAGAAGTGATCTATTCATGGCCAGGCCATCTGCATCTATGTATCTGAAGGAGCTAATTAATGAAAGTAACACCTTTCAGGTTTTTAAAGAATCTTTTTACTTACATATTCTTACTTATTTTCAATCTTTGTATTCTGCACATTGGAATGTAGCCTCCCAACCTGGATTTTACCTAATTAGAACTAAGCATATCAATTAAAAAAAGAATTGATCACCTTGAAATGTATGATAGACTGTCACAAATGTGATAAAGACAGGGAGACAGAGAGAAAATCTACACATAAAGCAATGCATTTAATTTCATATAAAAATGAAAATGTAGTGTCAGTTTCTATAAATGAAGCCATTACCTATAAAAAAAAAACTGAACCAACAGTCACTATATATTAAAGCTTTTATTAAGTTGAAACCCTCTGGCTGCATTAAAAGTTTTGAAAAAATCTTCTTGAGTCTAAGAATTATTTGTTTTAGATGATCATATTGGTACAATTTTTTACTGGCACACAAGGAATCCAATTTCCAGGTCCATTACCCAAAACAACACAGAAATTTGAAACAAGAAAATATCTTAGTGCTTGAACTATAGATCAAAGTATAATTCATATACCTCATTCCCTTGTGGATTATTACGATAAGAAGAAAGAAGAAGAAAAAAGGCAATTTTTCTGCCCATTTGATCGATGTTCCATTTGACCTCTGTGATGCCCTCTTGCCATAACCTTTTAAATACCATCTGCTCTTTTTGTGAAGAGTGTGATGGGAAGGAGTCACTTCCAGACAGCAATTGATTATAAGAACATTAATCAAGGGCATGGATTATCTGTAGCATGACACTGTGTGCTGTAGTTAAGCAATCTGGCCTTCAGTATGATTGGAAAGACTAATCCTTATGTGAAAGCCTAAAACGGACTTAGCATCACATGTTTAAGCAGAGAAGAGCAAATAATGCGTGAACATCTATTGGAATCTGTGATAAATTTCAGCAATTTTAGGGCTAATTTGTTTACCCAGTCTAATGGGATTAGATTGATTATATGTGCTCCTAAAATGTTATACATATTTCATGCTTGTTCCAATCACAGAGGACAGAAAAAGCTAGACATTCTTTGCTTAGAACTTGAAAAAAATACATTTTCTAGTTACCTTGCCTAACACATACATCTGAATTTGACATTTGTTTTCCCCATTAATCGCTACAATCTACAATAGGCTTTAGCTCATACGGAAAAAATTCTAAAAATATTCTGTGTGTAAGGGAAAGAAACTTCTTTTTACTTTGGCTATAGATAATACTTAAAAATAAGGATTTTTAACTTCCATATACCTTTCTAGATGTGTAAAATTTATTTTATAACAGTCTATATTACCATTTGGTATTATACAGAAAGTCTGTATTAAATAGCAATGAGAAAGAATTACAAAGAAATGATAAATGTGTGAACATGTATATGTGTGTGTAGTAGGGTGAAGGCAGGAAAGGAAGGAGGAAAGAGAGACAGAATGGAGACAGGCTGTGTGTGTGTCTATGTCTGAACACTAAGCATTTCCTTACTGCCTTATCATGCCTGTCCAGAGTAGAGAAGTTTGTTATTTACGCTAAGAACTTCCAGGGGAAAAAAAATCAGATTATCACTGAAAGAGGGGAGGTAAGTTATCTCAGCAAATGAAACAGGAAAAAAAGTGATAGAACAGTGTGTTTTTTTGAGAGAATGTCCATTTAAACAATGAGAAAAAGAACATAACAACAACAAAAACTAAAGAAAATGCTACGAAATTATAACAACATTATTTTATTTATTTAAAGAATTTCAAAAAGGCATACTATTTGTCAATGATTATGGTATTTGAAGCCTCATACCAGCCTCAAATGCATAGATTCTTAACAAAATCATCACTGCCTAATCTAAACCTTACAAAACTAACAGTAGACCAGATGTTTTTATTTTAAAAAATCCAAGTTTCCCAGAATCTGACAATAAATAAAACCTTTCTCCATGGTAATGCTTTTTTTTTTTTCATCAGAATTACTACACACATAATAGTTAAAAGTCAAACAGTAGTAAAAGGGTAATAAATTATATCATGCATTGGTATCAGTTGCAAGATAAAAAACACAAATCTGGCTAACATAGGCAAAACAAAAATTTATGAGAAGGGTTTTAGGAAATTCACTGCATTGTTTGTGAAAGCTGGTGAGCCAGATGAAAAGAAATTCGGGAATCTAAGTATGAACAGAAAAAGGAACAACAGACAAGGTCAGTTGCTACATCAAAAAAGTCAGTTTAAACTAACATCATCTCCTTCTAATGCCAAGGACATTGCCCTTGGTGGGCAGAACTGCTACTTCCAATGGAAGCTACTTTCATGAGCAAATCCTAACCCATTTTGAGCTTAATTCCCATGCATGCGCTCTCGAAGCCAAAAGATAGGGAAAGAAGAAAGTATCCGGCCCCTCAACCTCAGTCCCGTGGCATACTCTGCCTCTTCTTTTCTTTTGGAAAAGGAATAGCTTTTGGAACTATTATTAGGCTATTTTATACTGTCTTGTATATCATCCTTATTTCTATCTGCTTTATTTTGGGGAAGATTTATTTGGCTTTGAATTATAGTGAGTTTTAAAAACCCTTATAGATACTTTATAATTTTTTTTAAAAATTCTAATTTTTTTTGTTGTTGTTCTCTTTTGCAGGCCTTTTGTTCAGAGCACTTTGTTCTTATTAGCATCTCTCCATCCTCTAACATGGGCAATGGATGATAGAGTGGTGTTTATCACCTTGTCAACTTTCTGTAGGTGATTGGCTACACCTACAGAAGGCCAATGTATTAAAGAATCCTGAAAATGTCAGTATATGCAGATCTTTTATGTAGGTATATTCTTTTACTTCCATGATGGACTCTACAATCTTCAACACTTGGGATTATTGCTCTACCTGCAGGAATTCTAAGGGAAGGGCAAGGCCAGTTGGCTGGGCAACATTCTATTGTGTGATGGGACAGGTTTTCAGCCTTCTTCCGTGACCATCTACCTTTTTACGTGCTCAGAAATTCATACTGTTGTTATTCAATGTCTCCGAAAATAAACCATTGTTCTGCCTGAAAGAATAGTTAATACATTGTGCAGAAATGTACTCAATACTCCTGTTTCTAGATGTTTCATCTCATCTTTATCTTTTGCAGTCCCTGGCACCTGTATGCCCTGATTTTCTCAGGGATTCTTCAAGAGTATTTGGCTTGTTTCACATGGTTGTTTCATGCTGTAGATCCTTTAGGTTTCTGCTTACTGCTGGTACAGCTAAGAAGCTCCATATTACTTCATTCGCTCATAAAAGATTTGTATAATCTCTTTTTCACTGATATCCCTTCTCAATATATTTTTATCTTTGATGGTCAGTGAGTAGCCTTGCTTAATTAAAATAAGCTGTTTAAAAAGATTATGTTCATACATGTATGGGCAAGTTTAAAGGAAACATCAAGTGCTCCAGGGCTAGCAACAGCTGGAAAAGTTTATCATTCAAAAATAGTGCTGACTAGAATAATGGAGCTCAAAAGAGGTCCACATCCTAATCCCTGGAACATTTTGTCTTACAGGTCAAAATGGATATTGCATGTGTGATTTATTTACAGACTGTAGAATGAAGGAGATTATCCTGGATTACCCAGGTGTGTCTAATCTAATCACATAGAGCCTTAATAGCCGACAAGTTTTCCTGGCCACAGTCAGAGGGAGAGGCAACTATGGAAGAATGTTCATAGAGATGAAACATTGCAGGTTTTGGAGATGGAAAAGGGAGCCATGAGACTCTAGAAGCTAAAACAGGCAAGGAAATGCATTTTTGCATAGAACCTCCAGAAGGGAATGCAACACTATTGACACCTTGATCCTGGGGCAGTGAAGTTAAGTGTCAGACATGGGATCTACAGGATTACATGCTAACACACTTGTGTCATTTAAAGCCACTACGTTTGTGGTTGTTTGTTACAGCAGCAAAAGAAAACTAATACAAGAACAGAATGAGCAAAGCAAAGGAGAAATTGGCAGAATCCAGAAGAACTACCTGCATCGCTAATAGAGAACTTTCCCACAGAATCTGTGGCATTCACTGAACTTGCTAACTCACAGAGACGTAATATGAATGAGGTTTTGGAAAAAATACCCAACTTCAGTCTTCCTCAGTCCAATTTATTTAAGTCCCTCCAATTGCTAGAAAAAAAAAGAGAATCAAAAGGCAAAAGATGTAATTCACAAATCATATAAAAAGTGGAGTGTAGATATGGAAAAATATCTGGCATATATTTTGTGCTTTTTTTCTTTACTATTGTTTTTAATGCAGTCTCACAAAGCAGAAAAGATGGATGTGTTGTCAGTATTACATTCAGTATTACAAACACTACTTGTATCTTGAAAACATAAACAAATGTGTTAATCTATAATATGTTGTTATAATATATCTAATAATATTAAATATATTAATATCTAATATAATAATATTAAATATAATATTTAATAATTACATTATATTAAATATTATTATATTTAATAATATTATATTAAATATTATTATATTTAATAATATTATATTAAATATTATTATATTTAATAATATTATTAAATATTATTATATTTAATAATATTATATTAAATATTATTATATATAATAATATTATATTAAATATTATTATATATAATAATATTATATTAAATATTATTATATTTAATAATATTATATTAAATATTATTATATTTAATAATATTATATTAAATATTATTATATTTAATAATATTATATTAAATATTATTATATTTAATATTATATTATATAATATCTAATATCTAATAATCTAATAATATCAAATATTATCAATATGATATATCAAAATATGCTAAAAATTATTAGATGTAATATTTAATAATATAATATCTACTGAACACTTTTGCTTGCCAGACATTCCTGCAAGTGCTTTCTATCTATCCATTAACTGAATGTTCAACACGGACTTTAGAGGGAGATACTATCCTTATTATTCCTCTTTTGTTGCTTTGTCGTTATTTTTTAGAAGAAGAAATTCAGACAAAGAAAGTAAAATAACTTGTGAGCAAGTGGCACAGTCAAGATTTAAACCCAGGTAATCTGGTTCCAGAGTTCTTGCATGTTGCAGTGTTTTATGCTGAAATGCTAAATCAATATTCTATATTAAATAAATTATATGTGATGATTTATTTATTCTATGTTTCATAATAGAAAAGAAAAAGGAAATTAAAGTTCTTTTCTAAAGACAATAAAAGTTAGAGAAAAGTTTCCTTTAGCCTTCTTTGCCTTGACTATTATTTTCCCGTCTTTTAGCATTTGCTTTGTGTGGGTGTGCTTCTAATTACCAAAAGGTAATTATTTTACCTAAAGCTCTTAAGCAGAGCGAATCAGCCAGGGATGTTTATTGACTTCCCCTGGGTGTAAAGCACTGTACCAGAAACTATGAGATTAGTGAAAGAGAAAAGTCCTCACAGATAAGTAAACAAACAATTACAAAGCAAAGTGATAAGTACAATGAGTACAGAGAGTTAGAAAAAGGACGCTTTACTCATTTGGAAGCCTGGAATAGTCAAGGTAGACTTGCAGGAGATGGTGACCACAGGGGTGAGGGACTTGATGACTTTCCCCAGAGAAAGTGGCTAAGGCAAGGGTTAGGGAAAAGCTTTTCCGGAAGGGAAAATGCTATGTTAAAGGAGAAGGGGATCAAGGACACCACTACCTGGAGACTAATAATAGTCCCATTTGATTGAAGCATGGAGATATTGAAATGGCATTCAGTGATTTCTGTAACCGCTCAAAGTCTGAACATGGGGCCTGATATTTCCGATAATAACCAATAGAAACTTAAACCGAATCTAGAAAAGCATTTTGTTGAGCAAGATGTATGTTCTGTCTCTGTCTCTATTTCAGGTCCTCTATTCAGTCTTTGCAACTTGGCATGTCCTCTCTTCTCACTAAGTAGCATTTGACCATCTATCATAGAGAAACAGGTAACAGACAGCAGCAATAGCTGCCCTTTATTTTTAAGAACTTTTATTTTTCCAGATTGAGCTAAATTAGATTTTACATAAAGTATTCATGTCCATCTATTCTATCCTCTTCTAGTAAGCTTTCTGTGCCTATTAACCTTTCTGTCTGTGCTGTTGTAGCATTAATGTCAGTAATACCAAGTGACAATATCAAGCAATTTAACGATCGACATATAATGCAAAATTATATTTAGTTGCTCATTTTTGTTCTTTCAATTTTTTTTTTTCAGTCATTTACTTGCACTTGCACTTGTCTTATGAGCAGGGTTGTCAGCAGCTTGGTCTCTCTTTTAGTTTTTGCTTGAATTACTTTAACATCCTGGAGGCTTCTTCAGTACTAAGATGGTTATGCTCACGGTTGGCTTAGGAGGAAACTCAGTAAGAGCAGTCCATTTTTATTGCTTCTGGTGCCAAATGGCATCACACTTTTAAGTCTGATCATGCAGAGCCTGTTTGCCTGAGCTTCAGGGATATTCCTGTTAGTTTGCATTATGCCAGCCAGCATATGATCCAGTCAGATTTAAAACATCCCTTGGCTAATGTCCAGGTGTATATTCATCTATTTCCAAAGCACCACCACTATATTAGGGTGGGTGCGTCCAGCAGCTTTCCTCCCCACAAATTTCCTAAATTCTAGCCCTGTTTATGGTTTATCAGTCCAGAGGGCCTTAACAAAGAAAGTGCAGTCTACATTCAAATTGGTCCATTGATTTTACTGCAGATAGGGGTAGATGGCCACTGTGGGCCATATGTAGGTTAGCCATTGTGACAACTCTCTAAGCTAGGGTTTGTCAAACACAGCACTGTCAATATTTTGGACTGGATAATTCTTTTTCGAGTGAGGCTGTTGTGTGCACTGTAGATCTTTCCTGGCCTCTACGTACTGGATGCCAGTAATATCATGCTAAAGGGAAATTATTCTTAAACATTGTATTTTTAGAAATGCACTCGGTGCTTGTTAAAAACAGCAATAAAGATGTGACTTAAGGATACTGCAATAGAGGCTAAGACTATTACAATAGAGAAGAGAGATTGAACAAAACTCTGATTACTCTGAAGATAGCTGGAGATTTATAGCTAACGACCAGAGTGAGGAGATTAGTAGACAGAAACATACTAATAATCAATCAATTGATTAGATATCAAAGATAGTGGAATTTTTATCAAAGAAACTTAACGGGAATCTTGTTAAAGGCAGGCCAAGACTTAGATATGAATGGTAGGGGATGAGGAATTTGTTCAGACGTCAAGGTGGGGGCAGGGAGGTGATTCACTAAGCTGACTCAGTAGGATCCTTTTACCACATTGAGTTAACAGGCCAAGCACATAGAACACCAAGGTCAAGTTCTAGTTGAAAAGAAAGCTCAGGGGAGCCTGACTAATGTTTGCTGAAGAAGGGAGTCTTTGTCAAGCCACCCGACTGGAAGTGGTGACAATAACACAATTTCCAGACATTGCCGAATGTTTCTTGTGGGGGACAAAATTATGTCGTTGAAAACAACTGTTCTAAAAGATTGTGTTAGATGTTTTTGTGCCCACAATTTCACTACCCTAGAGTTAGGCTTTATTTCTCTCTATAAGCTAAACAGGAACATAGACTTTCAAAATTATACAGAGAAACTAAAGGCAGTGGATGCCAGCTGTTTGACATGCTCCCACTCTCATTTCATAGGAGAGATTTTGGAGTCATAACCTTTTGTTGTTGTTGTTTTTGGTAATTTTATATTAAAAAGCAGCATTACTGGATATTTGTCATTGATTATTTTGGTGAGTTTTGCTTGTTTGCTCTTCCAATAGTGGCCAAAACTTAAGGGAATTTTAAAGGAGAAAAGAAAATATTAATTTAATTTATAAATTATGTTGTTAAAAACTACTTCCTTCCCAAGGAGACATTATATTTATGCCCTTGATATCTCTCTGGTGGACCTGTTGAAGAAATTCTCAGAAAGTACAATAAGAGGAAAAAATCTGATGTGACTGTTAAAATTTTCACATTTTAATTGCTTGTGTGTGTTACTTATTTTAATGATCTACATACCTGTGGCTGTGTTCTAATATATATTTGTCCTTTGTTCAGAGAATATTAAAACTCATCAATTCTAATAGGATAGGCACCACTTGCTATAACTTCTACAATTACTATTTCTAGAAAAGAAACATATCTTATAAAATATACTTTGATTAACACTGTAATTAGATATTGAATATACTAGAAAACATATATCATATGAACAGATTTTTAAACAGGATAGAGAATTAATTTAAAAGCAGAAGCACTGAGCAGTTATAACAAACTACAAATGTATTAATCTATTCTTTCAGTCTTCATTTAACATCTAATATTCAATAAAATGCTTTGTAGTTTTCTTCGGCCTAAATGGCTGCTTTGGTTTTATATTTTCACCAGGGTAAACTTAAGATACATTAATTTGGAAAGCATGATTTACCTTGGTTTATAATATGTATTGCAATTTGCAGTTTTATCTGACAGTAACTTGCGCTGCACTTAATCTTATCCCGGTTAATTATCATATATTTGGATGGAGAATGTAGAATCACTATAGATGTTAATTAAAAGATGAGTTAAGATAAAAACCAGAAGAAACAAAACTCATGATTTGACTTTACAAGTGTCTTTCAAAATAACATTTTTAAGTATTAGGTAATTAATTGCACTGCAGACGGATGGCAAAAGTACTCAAAAAAACAATTTTTAAAATAAAATGCAAAATGGATTTTGAAATAGCCTATTTATGAGCAAATGCTGTAACTGATTAAAATGAATTAAAATTGTATTAAACAGGCAAGATTGTTCTCATTTTAAGGTATCTAGTCATCACGTTTGCATTTTAGTAAGGTTAATTTGATTTTCCATTAGATTTTTCTACACTTTAATTTCCTATTTGGAAGTAACAACAAAAGTCCAGAATGAGTGTGGCATTATATTACTCAAGAGTTAAACAATGTACTTCCACCTACAGTGGCTGGATAGTAACAGAATCACTAGAAATTTCACATTTAAAGCCGTCCAGGGGTAATATTTTATTTATAAATCCTGGGCAATAATATAAAATAAAACATAATTGTATCTGCTTATAAAATTTGCTGAAGTGGCAATTTAGTATTTCTGTCCTCTCATCTAAGTAATACAAGAGTACATACAGGTAACACAGAATGTTACCAGGTTGCTCATTAAAATATGTGTTATTTTGAGAGGGAGAGCCACTGCATATGCAATGGAGAATGACAGTTCAATATTGATTTTTTTTTTTCTTTTAAGGTCTCATGAATGTATTCTACAACCGTTTTTATGTGTGGCTAACAGCACTCCTTCTCTCAATAAGGAGCTTTGTGCAAGTTGTGTATATCTCCAATTACCCTGTCCTAAAATATATTCAGTAGTTTTTATATGACATAGATCATCTAAGAAACCCCAATATTCCAAGGATGACAAAGATGTAACAACTCAGACACATACACAACAATTACTTCAACTAATGATAGTGGTAAGTGTATATTTTGTTTTTGTGGTTTAAATAATTCACTAGGATTGTCACATGTTTTGATTTTAGTTGAAACAGAGCTAGTGACATTACTTTGCCATATGTTACAGCCACATAGCTGGGCAGGATCACAGATTGATTTGGATTCTTTATTTCTTATGATATAACCAATGTTAGGGAAAATTATGCTGGGAATATGACATTTTTCTAAGTTAACTTCTCAAAAGCTTCTTAGCAAAAAATCTAGGTTGAGCTTAGGAGTATTTGTTCAGTTAGTTCACCTACTCTATTAATGCTTCCTTTTTTAAATTAAATTTCTTCATTTCCTTTTTGAATATAATGTTTTCCAGTGATTCAGAAACCAAAAAAGGGACAAGGTAAAAATCTTTCTCTTAATATCTTGTCCATATTCCATTTCCCATACCTTGCCCTCAACATAACTACTGTTAGTGGTGTTTATATGCTTTCTATAACATTTTAATATATGTAAATGCAAAAACTGATACTTTACTTTTCTAGCATTTTATTTTTACTCCTACCACCGTATCCTTTGGTTCTGCATTCCTGGATTCAAACAACTGTGAATTGAAAATATTTGGAAAATAAAAATGGCTGATTGCATCTGTACTGCACATATGCACGCTTTTTTTAACCTTGTCATTATCCCCTAAACAATACAGTATAAACAACAATTTAAATATCATTTACATTGTATTAGGTATTATAAGTAATCTAGAGATAATGTAAAATATATAGGAGGATTTGCCTAGTTATATGCAAATATGAAGTCATTTTTTATAAGGGACTTGAGCATCTGTAAATTTTGGTGTCATGAAGATCCTGGAACCAAACTCTCAAAAATATCAAGGAACAACTATATAACATTATCTATACCCTTTTGTCCTTTATAATTTAATAATGTATTTTGGAGATCTTTAACAGCACATAAAATATTCCTCCTATGCTTTTATCATTATTTGGATATACAGAGTTTATGTATTTAGGTTGTTTCCAATCTTAACGGATTACAAAACAATGAACTAAGTAAACTTGACAATATCTCATTTGGTAAATGCATGCCATATGGATAAATTCCTAAATGCTTTGTAAAATTTTTTCTTTGAAAATATTAGATGAAGGTTTGGAGAAATATAAAGTTCTTGATGATATTATTTTCTTTCACTGAGGATATCTCTTCCATGTTGTTTCACCTTCTTCTAACCTTAAATATTGTGGGGGAAAAAAAAAGCCCCAGTTGAACTAATTTCCCTCCCTCAAAGAAACATGATTTCTTTTTTCAACCACATGGTCTTCCCCTTTAATTTGTAGATTTATTTCTAATTGTACTTATTTGTTACTATGAAACATTTTTAAATTCTGTTCTACTCCACTGTTTTGTCTCATCTCTTTATAGTCTCCAATTATACCTACGCTATATATGTTTTCTACCTTCTAAATCTATCGTTTATTCTCTTTTTTAACTAATGCTTTTTAAAACTTCCATTTCCTTGAGCTTCTTTTTCTGTTTTCTACTCACTATGTGCACTACTGTGTTTTCTACAGAACCTTTATCCTTGTGCTCCTTCCAAGTTTGTCTTCACTGCTTTGATGTTATGGTTAATTTTGCCTGTTTTTTCTCAATTCCATCTCTATACCCATTTTGTCACCCCCATCTTTCATATCCTCCTGTCCTTGATTCTTTAAATTTCTATGTTGTTGCCTTTTTGATCAAAGTGATTTGTTTACTATTTGTGTTAATTCATGAGAAAATAATGAACAAAATTTGTATTTTCTTTCCAGCAGTATTTTTTCTGGTCACCTTATCTGTTGGTTCATTTGTATGTTCTTTATCTTCTTTTAGTTTTACTTATGTTTCTTTTAATTTTATTTACTTTTCTTTATTATATTATTTTAACATTATGTATGTTAAATATCCCCTGTCAAGCTATTTTTATTCATTTCCTTTATATAGGAAGTGTTCTAGTAATCTATTGGGCAGGGAAATTTTTATGTATCAAAGACTCACTCTACCTCTGGTGCCACAGTGACTGACAGATTTTTGTGTCTCATTGCACAAATCCGTGTCCTGAGCAAAATCACTTTCAGAAGAGCTTCCTCTGCCATTTCCACTCACCCCAGTTCTCATATTTCTTTTTGAAGAAAGAAATGTACATTTAGAAAATTTATTTTTTCTGTTATTTTCTGTAATAATGCCACCCCTCCAGTCCCTGCTGTTATTATTTACGCCTCTCTGTGTTCTCTTATATAGCTTTTGCCAAATAATAAATATTTTGGTGGGATTTTTCACATAACTTGGAATCTCAAGATTAATCTGTTTCCTATTTCATGAAAAACTGACTTTGGAAGTTCTTTTTCTTGTTATGATTATTGTTGTCTTTGTTTTAAAGAATTTTCATTAAAAGAGGGAAAATACTGACATACATAGCCATGTTTATGCTTGAAATTCAACCTAAATTTATATTCTAAATTTTCTCTTATTCTCAGACCTGTAATTCCCTCTTTCCAACATTACATGTCCTCACTTTAAATGGATATTTTCACAGGCTACTTCACAAAAGAAACTCAAACCACCATCAGACTGGATACACACAGATTCTAGTTATTATAACTAGACATCAAAATACCTACATCTAAGTTTTCACAATCGTCATTTAAGAACAATGACTACCATCCATGCAACCTTCTTGCATCAAATATATTATCAATTTTTTTCTGTAATGTGCATATCCAACCTTTCACTTTCTATTGCAGCCTTTCATTTAGCATTTAATTCCATTTTCTATCCAGCTATTATGCAGCTTTTCTTGCCCTTCAGAATCAAATTCCAAAGGAATATTCTACATATTCTCTCTTTCTCTCACTCCAGTCTGGCTTCCACTCAAAGTACCTATATCTCATCACTGATCCTTTCTCTGTGTGTGTGTGTGTGTGTATGTGTGTGTGTGTGTGTGTCTGTGTCTGTATACACACATAGAGTCATGTGTTACTTAACAGAAGTAGATTCTGAACAATGAGTTCTTAGGTCATGTAGTCATTGTGTAAAATTCATAGTGTATTTACACAACTCCAAATAGTATAGCATGCTATACATCTAGGTTATACGGTATAGCCTATTGCTCACAGGCTACAAATCTGTACAGCATGTTATTGCACTGAATGCTGTAGGCAATTGTAACACAATGGCAAGAATTTGTGTATTTAAACATGTGTATCTAAACCTAAGCATAGAAAAGATACAGTGAAAGTAAGTTGCAATAGACTAAAAAAAAAAATGATACACCTATATACAGCACTCACCACGAATGGAGCTTTCAGGACTGAAAGTTGCTCTGGGTGAGTCAGTAAGTGAGTGGTGAGTGAATGTGAAGGCCTAGGTCATTAGTGTACACCACTGCAGACCATATCAACACTGCACACTTAGGTTACACTAGATTTATTTTTTAAATTTATTTTTTACATGATAAATTCATCTTAGCTGTCACTTTTTTATTTTAGAAATGTCTATTTTTTAACTTTTTGACTCTGTAATAACACAATATCAAACACAAACACAACGTACAGCTATGCAAAGATATTAGCTTCCACTATATCTTTATTCCACAAGCTTTTTTCTACTTTCTAAGTCATTACAGTTTTTTAAAGATATTTTGTTGTTGAAAACCAAAACGTGAACCCACACAGTAACCTAGGCCAACAGGAAATTAGGATCATCAATATCACTGTCCTTTACCTCCACATCTTGTCCCACTGGAAGGTTTTCAGGAGCAATAAGACCCATGGAGATGTCGCCTCCTACAATAACAATACCTTCTTCAGGAATACCTCCTAAAGGACCTGCCCAAAGCTCATTGACAGGTAACTTTGCTTCTATAAGTAGAAGGAGTACGCTCTAAACTAACTATAAAAAGTATAGTATAATAAATACATAAACCAGTTAGATAATAGTTTATTACCATTATCAATGATTATGTACTGTACATAATTATATGTGCTAGACTTTTACGTGACTGGCAGCACATTAGGTTTGTTTACACCAGCCTCATCACAAACATGAGTAATGTGTTGCACTACAAATTTATGACAGCTATGATATCAGAAGGTGACAGGAACTCTCCCGCTCCATTACAATCCCCTGGTACCACTAGCATATATGTCATTCATTACTCAAGCAAATGTCCCTTATATACCACATGACTGTATATATACAATCTGGGTGTGTGTGTGTGTGTGTGTGTGTGTGTGTGTGTGTATATATATACACAGAAAGAGAGAGAGAGTAAGTGAGAGAAAAAGTTAGGGCTAGTAAGCCCAAAGTTTTGAGGATAGACCAGTAGCGATGCAACTTTTGAGAAACGGTTAATGCTGCAGTATTCAGGCAGAATTTCTTCTTCCTCAAGAAAACCTCAGTGTTTGCCTCCAAGTGAGTCTTTTAACTGATTTGTTGAGGTTCATCCACATGATTGAGAATAATCTCCTTTATTAAGAGTCAGCTAATGGGGTTTTAATGATATCTACAAAATACCTTCACAGCAACAATTAGATTAGTGTTTCATTTAATAAGAAGATACTAGTCTGGCCACATTTGCACATAAAACTATCACACTACCGAAAGAACTTTTGATTGTATCTTAATCCATTTTGGCTGCTATCACCAAATACCATCAGTTGGGTAGCTCACAAACTACAGACATTGATTTCTCAAAATTCTAAAGGCTGGGTGGTCTTCAGATCAAGTGCTGACAGATTTTGTGTCTGGGAAAGGTTCACATTCCGATTCATTGAATGACGCCTTCTCACTGTGTCCTCCCATGGTGGAAGGGATAGGTGAGCTACCTTGGGCCTATTTTATAGAAGTACTAATCCAATTCATGAAGGCTCTACCCTTATGTCCTAATTACCTCTCAATAGGCCCTACCTCTTAATACCATCAAATTAGGGGTTAGAATTTCAATTTATGAATTTTAGGCAGACACAAAGATTAAGACCATATAAGATTGCTTTATTAATAACCTCAATACCTCTAAATTTCTTAATTCAATTAGGATTTTTCCACGTTTTTCTTGCATAATCTCAAAGCATTATTCAGTTCTGTTAATCACTCTTTCTTTCCAGCAATGTTCTTTCATTTTATTTTCATGAAGCTATAGTACCCTCTTTGTTGCTGTTTTGGTTATGTCTTTTTTTTTTTTATGCTTGTTTGTTGTTTGTGAACCTATTTTGCTATAGTGTCTTACCTCTCTATTGTATTTGTTCAATTTATTATTTTCCACCATTTTTTTTTTTCTTTCTGAGATGGAGTTTCGCTCTTGTTGCTCAGGCTGGAGTGCAATGGCATGATCTCGGCTCACTGCAATCTCTGCCTCCCGGGTTCAAGCAATTCTCCTGCCTCAGCTTCCGGGGTACCTGGGATTGCAGGCATGCGCCACCACGCCCAGCTATTTCTGTATTTTTAGTAGCATGATCAACCATGTTGGTCAGGCTGGTCTTGAACTCCTTACCTCAGGTGATCCTCCCACCTCTGCCTCCCAAAGTGCTGAGATTACAGGCGTGAGCCACCCCACCCGGCCCATCAATTATTTTTAAGGTAGAGTTTCTCAAGACCAGGTACTAGACATTAATCTCCTTTCTTTTCCCTTTTGATTAAATCTTACCCACATCCATATTGTATAATTTCATCTTTATACAAATTACTCACCTATTTATATACTCGGGCCAAATATTTTCTTTCAGTTCCATGCGTATATCTATGTTAACGTAAAAGTGCCTAAAATTTAATGTGTATAAAACTAAATTTGTATTTTCCTGACTATCCTTTGCTTGCCTAACACCTTTTTTCCTCAAAAATTATCAAATATACAAGACAAATCTTTGAAAATTCCATGTCTTTCAACTGCCAAATAAATTATAGCACCAAATTTTATTCATTTTATTTTCTACAATATGTCTCAAATTTATCACCTCCTCAGCATTTCTCCAGATAGCATTCAAGTCCAAACCACGATCACCTCTCCTATGCACTACTGCTCTTCCCTTTTCGCTAATTCCCAGGTTAACTGTCACCATCTCTAATCTTCTCTCTACTCTGCAATCAGAAGTGGTGCTTACATATGCAATCAGATTACACCACTTAACTGCAAAAACACGATCCTTGTAGGACAAAGACTAACATAGTTTAAAATTTCCTAAATTCGGTCTTACTTAACTGACTCTGAGTCCAAAAGAACCACGGGACCCAATAATGGTGTAGGCAACTCAGTCCTAGGCAGAAGGACTAAGAACCAGGAGAAGTGAAGAGGTAAGTTCTGAATCCAAAGGCCCAAGAAACAGGAGCTTCGATGTCCAAAGGGAGGAGAAAAGGGAAGTCTCCTAGCCAAGAAGAGAGAAAAAAATCCAGTCTTCCCTCTGCTTTTTTGTTCTATTCAGCTTTCTACACATTGAATAATGTCTGCTCACACTGGTAGTGGTGGTGGAAGAAAAAACTTCTTTACTCAGTCTACTGATTAAAATACTAATGTCTTCTGGAAATATCCTCACAGACATAAAAGAAATAATGTTCTGTTGTTGTTGTGTAAATTGAAGGGCTGCAAATGTGATTTTGTTACATAGTGGTAAGTCTGGGCTTCCAGTGTAACCATTACCTGAATAATGTACATTGTACCCATTAAGTCATTTCTCATCCCTCCCACCCTTCCAAGTCATCAATGACTATTACTCCACACTACGTTCATGTTTACACATTCTTTAGCCCCCACTTATAAGTAAGAATATGTGGTATTTGACTTGCTGTTTCTGTGCTGTTTCATTTAAGATAATGGCCTCTAATTCCATCCATGTTGCTGCAAAAGACATGATTTAATTTCTTAAAAATGACTGTATAGTATTCAATTGTGTATGTACATATATTACATGCATCTATATTACATATGTAACAAATGTATATATAACTATATATGTAAAATATATTATATATATATCAAATCATATAGTTTGTTTCCATATATTTGCTATCATGAATAGATATCTGCACTCCTATTTTTATCAGGGTAATAATGTTTCATCAGTTTTCTGGGTACCCTTGAACCCAGTCAAGTTGACATATAAGTTTAACCACCACATTCATTTTATTGACTGCTAGAAAAGTATGTTCCATGATGTACAACCTGCTAATATGAGTATGTCTAGGGTCAAAATTGAGGAATTAAAGAGGTTGTTTGTACTAAAATAAGAGCATCTAACTCTTTCACATGTGTTTTCACTACATAATGTTGTCAGAACTGCCCTTACCTCCTTATGTTAAACAAAATGAGAATACATCCTTAGCATCCAAGAGTGTTAAAATGGCTTACCAAATCATCTCAGAAGCTTCAGAACTTATGTTTTAGGATAAAACACCCTAATATAATTTATATAGGGAAACACAAAACAAAAAAATGAAGTATTATCTAAATATTTTATTAGGAAATATAATTTTATAGGCAAAAATAGAATTTGGCACCTAAATTGTAAACTTGCTAATTTACTATTTGTATTGCTCCATTTTACCTAAATGAAAGGTGTTATTCTTTGGACTAAGCATTTTTTATATGTTCATTACATTAAACTTTTTATATTTCTTTTATTTTTTAATTTTTTGATTACATAGTAAGTGTATATATTTACGGGGTACTTGAGATGTTTTGACACAGGTATGCAATGTGAAATAAGCGCCTCGTGGAAAATGGGGTATCCATCCCCTCAAGCATTGATTCTTTGAGTTACAAACAACCCAATTACACTCTTTAAGTTATTTTGAAATGTACAATTATTGACTATGGTCACTCTGTTGTGCTATCAAATAGTAGGTATTATTCATTCTTTCTAACTTATAAGAGCAAAACATTGTGAAAATATTAATTGATGGAGAATTAAAATAATTGGTTATTTTTATGTTTATGTAATTTCATGTATGAAGAAGATCATACATGCTTAAGAGTATAGCTAAAAAATATGGTGGGTCTGACTGGTGTTTGCATTATGAAGTAATTTTCAACTAAGAAAGATACTTCTGGGCTCCATACTTTTAGGATCAAAGATTTCTCAGTGTAATAATTACAGCTAGACATAATGGCAATTTAGCCTTACATGGATTGTCCCTCAGTTAAAGTTAGGCGTTTTGGGAAGTGGAATTAGCTCTTTCAGGTCGTTAGAGACCATTTAGCAAATCATTTTTTTTTTTCAATAATGAAAAAGTGTAAATGAAATAAGTCCATTAGATTCACGTCCCACCTGATGTAACTGGAAAGTGTGGCAGAAGCGTGTTAAAAGGAATGTTGGTTCCCCTGAGAAATCAAGAGCTAGAAACACTAATGAATCAGATTAGACTGTGAATCGTCAGTATTGGTTGGATTAATGATTTTCTTTAAATCAAAAAACAAGTTACTATGCTCTGCTAGCACCCATTTAACCAAGTAAACAAAAAACAACCCCTAATTATAGAAGAAAGAGAAATATAGAAAAAGCACTAAGTCAAAGCATATAGTTTTTGTTAACAAGCTATAGAACTATTAGTACATAAAAGTGCCTATGTTTTAATGTTTGCATACACAGTAAAAGAAAATAGGCCACAGAAGTGAAAGGAAAAGCACTTTAAATGTTCAGCTTTGAATAGTTTTCTGTAGGAATAATTAAAATTTTACATCAGTAGAATACACAAGGTTGGGTTTATGTCTTATTTAGAAAATATCAAAGCCTTAAAATGTTTGGAAGTGCGTGAACCCGGGAGGTGGAGCTTTCTGTGATCCGAGATCGCGCCACTGCACTCCAGCCTGGGCGACAGAGACACTCCGTCTCAAAAAAAAAAAAAAAATTTTTTTTTGAAAGTAGTCAAATGTAGTTTTGAATTATTTGTCAATCATCGGATTAAAGTTTTTCAAAATCACTCGGCTATAGATAAGCATTTTTTACAACACACTGGAAAAATCTAGTTCATATATATACACATATATATTTAATTTTATGAAAAGCATACTGTCTTCAGAATTCCGGTCTATAAATTAACTGATTATCATCTTTGGCACATTATCTCTATATACAACATGCTATTTTCCCATATTTTTTCTGCACAATTGTTCTACATCCTGTAGACATTGGTATAATGTCACTTATTCAAAGAAATTGATTCCGAGTGCCAAAAGTGGATTAGGTATTTCTATGATAGTCTCTAATTTCAATCTTCACTTTGTCTTTCGAACTTATTGTAATCTGTAATCATACATGCATGGTATATGCTCAACAATTACCTAAATGAGTGGAAGACCACAAAGAATAGAAAGGTAGGAATAGTATTAAATAGCTGACTGAAAGTGGTACATTTGAAATGGACATTCTCTTGTCAGAATTTATCATGCAGCTATTCAGCAATGCTCTCTTGGAAGGAAGACAGTGTCATTATGTAGACTTTAAGACTTCACTATTTCCATATGCTTTCTAATTGGTGTTTATAAAATTATTAAATCACAGGACAATGAATACTTTTACATGATCATAATTTCTGAATCATTTTGATGTATACTTTCTCCATGTATGTTTCTTTATACTGAAATGTATTTGCCAAATTGATCACTCCATAATGGAGTGATTAATGGATTACATTCACGTACATTAATGTTATTTTCAAATCTCTTTTTCATTTAACTACACTTTTTAGTTGTAATTGAATGTGCTCCTTCACAATGCCTTTTCTTTTATGAGGAGACATCAAATTGTATTCAAACAATTATGTGCTATTAAGAAAACAATGAATTAGCAGGAAAATTGTGGCATTAGTAAAATTTAAATTCTTCATGTAATAAACAATGATAACTTTTCTACCATGACATTGAAATTTAACATTTATTAGAGAATTATCATTTATAGTTAAAATGAATTTCAGTTATGCTCTTTTATTACTGCTACAATGAAGATTAAAATTTTAGCTATGGTTCTAATGCAAAATAATAAAAAAATTTATGAAAATATGAAGAAGGAAGTCTCAGCATAAGCTTTTAAAAATAGTTTCTCATAAACAATATGTGAAAGTAATTTTTGCATAAGATGTAAATTAGGCAAAATGATGCATACATGTTTTAAAATATGTTACACTTTGTGTGGCACACAATTTTATTGTTATTACCCAGTTAAAGGTACCCTTGTCTAATTCAGCTCTTTATTCTGTGGCTTTTAATATCTGTTTTTTTTACCTAAACTAAACACTACATTTATCTCAGTGGTCTTCTTTATATATAAAGCTCAGAGGTAGGGATGTAGGTGTATTTATATTATAAATAGGTAATGATAAGAGGAGTTACAATAAGCATTAATATTAAATTAATACAAATTATATCATGCCATGCTCAAAGGTACACCACCAGCCCCTTTCGATCAGCTGAAGATATTGAGGCTATTTGAATCCTATTTGTAGAAGCAAGACTTTAGAAGGCCTGCTCTCTACAAACAATCCCATAATGCCTCACAGCCTAGTCCATTTTAGTCACCATCAGATTGCCCGTCATCAAAAGATGATTGTATTTGTGCTTTGCTCATATTTATTATTCTGAGCTCATTTTCCATTCTCCTTCTACATTTTTAAATATTTTTCTATGCCACTAAAAACTTACATACAATCAACAATAGCCACTCTATATATTTAAATATTTTAAAAACTTTTTTTTTACCTTTGTGCTTCCAACTGACATTTGCCATCTCTTGTGAATACTTTCTTCTACAGCCCTTTCAGGTAATGGCCATTAACAGAAACACACACACACACCTCACACACACACACACACACACCCCTCACACAGCTCAGACACTCAAGGGGACAGAATAGCACTTATTACTTATTATTACTTCAGTGCTGAATTTTTCACTTGTACTCTCAAAAATCCAAATCCATAAACTTTGATATAAATCTTGCCTATCTTTTTCATTAATGACTATGCTTTTAGCTTTTCTTTCTCTTTCTCTCACTCTTTGACTTTCCTAGCAAATCTCAGCCCTGACTATAACTAAATGTTTATGGACTTCTTGGCTGCAGCTGCAAAGCTGAATATTGCTAAAAAAAGTGACATAAATATACTGAATGGATTTTCTTAAATATTAAGAAGACAAACTTCAAAAAGTACTCAAAACTTCTAAGCAATCTTTTTATATTCCTTCAGTAATATCAGTTTTTCTAATATAATTTCAAACCTCCTCTTCTTTCTCCAACATCCCCTAAAGACTCTTCGTTCTTTGATGATGACTTTACCAAATATTTCATATATAAAAATAACTGCTACTAAAGAAAAAAAATCTGTCCTTTATCAATTTTACCATCTCACTTACATCTGTACTTAGATACCCTGTTCTTCCCATTGAAATAATAAAGGAATTTTAATTGGCCACTCTGGCACTGAAGCCCTGGTGCCAACAAGTTTTGCCTTCTCAAAGATGTAGCTGTCACACTTTTGTTTCTCTTGCTTCTTCACTTCCTGCCATTTACTGAGTCATTCCTATCAGAATAAAAACAGGTTTAATGTATCAAATCATTTTTAACAAATCTTTCATTGTTCTACCAGCTACTACATCATTCTCCTACATTACTACCCAGCAATACTTCTTCAAATACGGTTGTTTGTACATCCATGTCTGCCATTATCACCTCTAAAGACTGCAAGACACCTATGCTTCTACTGCAGTAAAATAGTTTGCATCGACATCTATTCTGTCTCCATCTTACCAAATTCTCAACAGCATTTAGCCCTCTTTTCTACTTGAAACACTTTCTTCTTTAGATTTCTATGGCATCATAGTTTTTCTTCTACATCACTCCTGCTGCTTCTCAATCTCCTTTGTTGGATTCTCTTTCTATATCAAACTTTTAAATGAGGCAATGTTCTAAATCATTTTGCCCTCACTAGGCACTACTAGTCAATTATATGATATTAATAACATTTATATATGAGTAAATCTTAAATTTGTATTTTTTCAATATGGCACTTTCTCTGAACACCAAAGCTGCCTTCTTGACAAATCCGCTTTGATTTGTAATGGCACTTTCAACTCAACACGGCCAAAATCGAACACTTAAAATGGTTTTCCAACCATCTCAATCCCTCCTTAACCATTACATAGCAATGGCATACATTTCCTGACAACTTTTCTCCACACCTAACATTAACCCCATCAGCCATTCCTATTTTCTCAACATATAAATTTCTATCACAAATCCACCCAGTTCTTACCATGTCTATTATTAGTCTAAGCCACCTTATCTTTCACTGAAAAACCTGCAGCAAGTTTGAAATTGATCATTTTGCCTCTAATCCTTCCCCCATCAATCTGTTCTCCCCAAAGCACCCAGCATAATCTTTCAAAAGATCAAGTATAATATTCTAACTCTCTTGATTAAAGCCTTTCCAACCACTTTCTATTATGCTTAATAAAATCAACAAGCCTTATCATAGACTTTCAAATGCCCTTACTTGATCTGCCTGTACTTCTGCTCTCCTCCTCAGTAACTGTGTTCTAGTCACACTTATCTTTATCTCATCTCAGGGCATTCATGTTTGTTGCTTCTTCTACTTGGAATGTCCTTCTCTCAGATGTTCTCCTGGCTGTTCTCTTCATAACTGAAATGTACCATCTTCAGAGAGGTCATCCCTACTGAGTTTAACTAAAATGCTGCCTCCCATGTTCCCCTGCCCAGTCATTCACTTAATCAAGACCACCTTCACACTCACTCACTGCCATGCAATCTTCATAACAGATTTCAGTATTCTAAACTGTCTGAATTATTCATTGACTTGTTATTTATTGACTGTCTTCTCCTTACAGAACATAATTTACGTTGGACATGGACTTTTCATAGTTACTGCATTTTTCCCAGTGTGCCCAGATCAGTGCCTGTTGTATGGTAGACAATGAATGTTTGTGTAATGGTTAACTGATTCTTTTAATGTGATCACATATAATCTGTTTTTCCTGTTGGTGTCATCATCATCATCATCATCACCGTCATTACTATCATTACTACTTTTTTTATTTTAAAAAAGACGCATTTGTTCAGCATCATGATCAGACTATTACATTTAGCAATCAACAGTGTGGGTGCAAAAAAAAAAAACTACATTAAAACCCTTTGTTGGAATGCTTTACACTTTCCACAGAACGAGAACTAAAATAGCCTGTTCTATAATTAGTCACAAATATAATCCTCGAGTTTTTTTCCCCATAAACCTGAGTATTTGTCTAAAACATGTCTTCTTTGTAGCAGCTAGGCCCTGCCACCAGTATGCTTGGCTTAGTTCACAAATCTGTTGTAACCTGTAGCTTCCCTGTCACTTCTCTGGCTCTCCTCTCCTGCTAAGTTTTGTTTCATCTTTGTTTCCTGGCAGTAATTAAAATTTTCTGCTACTGTCATAGCTACTGATGCTACTGGAACCATCATAGCCACCTTGGTTTCATGGTTTGGCAAAGTATTGGCCTTCACCACCATAGGGGTCAGAGATTCCGTCTTCAAAATTTCCTCTTTCATGAGTCCAAAATTTGAAGACTGATTGTTGTAATTGCCAAAATCATTGTAGCTTCCACCACCTCCAAAATTGCTTCCACTAACACCACCAAAGCTGCCTCCACCTCGATTGTTATAGCTGTCATAGCTGCCACTCCCGCCATAACCACTGTCCTGGTTTCCGTAACCCTGTCCACCACTTCTATAGCCTTTGCTTCCTCCAGACTAACCAGGGCCGCCTCCTCCCTAACCACAATCATTACCAAATCCATTATAGCCATCCCCACTGCCACCATATTCACTACCACCATGGCTGCCACCAAAGCCACCATGACCACTAAAGTTTCCTCCACGACCAAAGTTGTCATTCCCACCAAAACCACTTCCACAACCACCACCAACGTTTCCAGAACCACTTCGACCTCTTTGGCTGGATGAAGCACTACCCTTCTCTTTCTTTGACAGGTTTTCCTAACTTCACAGTTGTGGCCAATCACAGTATGGTATTTCTGAATGACAGTCTTACCCACTGAATCACAGTGATCAATGGTCACACAGTCAAAGCTCCTTTTCTTGCCACTGCCTTGGTCCATCATGATTTCAATCACTTCAGTTCTTCCATACTGTTCAAAATAATCTCTTAGGTAATATTCTTCAGTGTCTTCTTTAATGCCACCAACAAATATCTTTTTCGCAGTTAAGTGGCCAACTGGTTTTTGAGAATCTTCTCTTGAGATAGCTCTCTGGTTCCACAACTCTTCTATCCACCTTGTGTGGCTTTGCATCCATGGGTGCATCCACCTTCTCCACAGTGGCATATGTGACAAACCCACAGTCCCCACAGCACTTGGTGTTTGCATCTCTCATTACCACACAGTCCCTGAGCCTTCCCCATTGCTCAAAATGGCTCCTCACACTACTATCAGTTGTTTAAAAGCTGAACCCTCCAATGAAGAGCTTCCGCAGCTGTTCTGACTCTTTAAGAGGCTCTGACTTAACCATGACTGCGGGGAAGAGAGACTTTTACGATTCTTCCTTGGCAGCATCCATGGGCAGCATTACTATTATTTAAACTCTAATTTTCTGTAGAAAAAAAGGCACATTCAGGTATTGATTAGCCAATCCATTGTGTTAGAACTCAACACAACATAGGTAAATAATATAGTTTCTGTCCTCATAGAATTTGTAGCCTGAAGGACGATGTAGGAATTAAGGAGAAAATTACAGTATAATCTTTTTATTTTATAAATGTATTTTTATACCAGATATTCATGGAGGCCTAATATATGTGCCAGGCATTAGTCTAGGTATTAAGAATACAGTGTTCAATAAAATAGTTCCTGTATATAACTCAAATCTTATGGTGTTAATAAGCAATATATAATAATAGTAATAATAATATAAAATAAACTTGAAAAATTTACTCTGTATATTCATTCATTTATAAATCTCTTATAATTTGTGATACTACAAGTAGCTTAACTTATCCAACTCTGGATGAACTAATAATCTCAATTTTGGGACCCACAAAACTGAGAATAATGTCCTGCTATGTGATAGCACACAAAGCTTCTGGCACCAGACTGGGCTTCTAGCTAGTTTCTATCATCCTCTAACTGCTGCAGCCGTTTTTCTGAAGTCTTACAATTTTATGACCAAGAAAAACATTTTTTGTCATAAGTCATTTTTTACTATGAACACTGTGAATTATTTGGACTCACTAGACATCTAGCAGACCACCAAGGAAATATATAGTGGCACAAGAATGTTTTGAGATGGACAGTATGAGCACATTAGCTGTTTTCTTAGGGCACAGTGGATAACAATGAATAGCCTAAGCAAGTCTGCACAATAGGATGCCAGTGGGAATTACCCAGTCAGGACCCAATGTAATGCGCATGAAATGTGCAAAGTGGGGAGAAGATCGCATGAGAACTAGAGAAGACAGAAAAGTAATTCTAGAAGGTGAAAATGTCCTTGTTCACTTTTTCTTTACTGCATACCCTGTCTTATTTTTTTTAAGGAAGGAGTAGATAGTCAATAAAGGAAGAAGGGAAAGAAGGAAGAAAGAAAGGAAGGGAGGAAAGAGAAGGGAAAATGGATAAGTAAAATGAGAGGTGAAGAAAATCTTTAGGAAAATCACAATGCTGAGTTGTAATATTGATATAGTTTTTTGGGGGCTGTTATTTTGTAGTGTTATCTACAGACAATAGAGATAGATAATTATAATTTTAAGTGGCAATTTTATTGTTGTAGGTAATTTTGTTAAAAATATCTGTCTATGATGTATCAGAGTATGTATGCACATTGAGATAATTAAAAAAACAAACTACAGGCCATTGTAGGGAGTTGGTAAAACACATATGTAATATTGCTATATAGCTTTTCGAATTTCTTTGACTTTATGTTCCCTAGAATCTACTACATAAAGCCACTTATTAATATATTACACACAATGAATTATAGTAATGTAAGGTAAATATATAGCAGTAACACCAACCAGGAAACAACGTTGACACTCAAGTTGTTTACAAATGAGGTTTAGAAGTTTTTTTACACTAAAAGCCCTTTCTGAATTTCTATTCAATTTTCTGATTGTGAAATGCCAGGCTAAAAAGTGAAACATTTTTAATCAATTTAAAATTAGAGCTACAAGGAAAAATGGTTTTGCATTTCAATTTAGTTCATCAAATAACAAAGCAACGGGTGCGAGGCATAAGATAGGAGATTTTCCATCCACTTCTCACCATTTAAGGCACCAAACCAATTAATGATCATGTGTTTCCAAATCAGTACTTTAAAAAAATTAAATTTCCCTTCAATTCAATAGGACATAGAATAAGAAAGACACTTTGACCGAGTCCAGAGAAATAACAAGAGAAGGATGTTACAAATATTCTATGGGGCAGAATAATTGGATATTAAAGTAGTTTGAATTAGAACTTCAGATGTAGCAATGATTTTTAATACTAGATGCACATTATAATCACTAGGAAAGCTTTAAAAAGTAGCGAAATATGGACCCTGCCTCAGATCAATTAGATCAATTTAGTCATGGACATGTGGATATTAAGCTTCAATATTTTTAAGACCCATTCTCTCCTGCCATGGTGATAAAATTTGCTCAGTGCTGAGAATCACTAAAATATAACATTGTTAAAAAGTGGTTTGTACTACACATTAGGCAAATAAACATGTCCCTTCCAATTGCTTTTAGTTTTAGTCATTTTTATTGTAATTGAATATAAATATATAATTGAATTAATTATAATTGAAATTTTTTCTAGTTCTGCCCAAACTTACTTTTAATATTTGTTCTAGTTCAGCCCAAACTTACATTTAGTAGTCTCCCAACTTATGTTGAAAGAGTGTTTTGCTGGATGTAGAGGATGCATAGCAGTTAATTTAGAAAGTATAGTTTAGGAAGATGTTTTGGAGCCCTACCTCCTTAAATTGAAGAGCTAAAAATGGAGAAATCAAGACAAAAGTATTATTTTATAATTAGCATTTATTCAGTAACATTGATAAGGTACAATTGGTTAAGTAGACAATAAAGACAGAAAACCATCCCATCTATTTAGTGTATGTGCATCTTCAAAAGTGAAAAACAGCTGAATTGGGCAGCTGTATTAATATATACGCATCTAGTGTTGCTAACAGCATAAGAATAGATATGATTGAAAGCAGTTATGGGTGAGATTTAGAATTTTCAAATATTAATAGCCTGGTTCCACTTCTATTCTATCACCTTGCAAACGTTGCCAAACAAAAGGACTCTAAACACTGCCAGCCTTTATGTTTATGATTAGAATTGTTCTCCATTGGGAGTAGAAAATATAATGCAGTCACATTTCAGGGCCCAGATGCTTTGCTGATCCAGGCATCCCAGACCACCTGTTTTCACATACTCATACGCACTTTAGTTTGTCATTCACGAATGCCCTATGCACATATTTGGCAGTTTGCTTGCCCAATGCTTTGGCAGTTTTCCAAAGACATGTAAGTACATCAGCTTTACAATTGCTATGTGCAATGGTTTCCAAATTCATTTGAGGTATTCGCCATCTTTGTAAGCATTATAGAGGCAACATAATCATGGCAAATTGCCTAAGTCAAAACAATTCTAGCTAAAATCTGTAAATCTGAGGATATTAAATGGGTTCACATATAATTTTTTATAAATACCTTACATCAACTTCTTATCTACAAGACAAAAAGAAATTAAATGACTTGCTGATATAATGTTCATGTTTTCCTCAATTCTTAGAATCATGGTGTATGGAGAGCTTGGAGAGAATTAATTTTGTGTAGGTTTTAATTACTGGTTAGATTTTTTACTTCCTCAGGCATCATTAGGAATACACTCAAAAAAATGAACCATAGCAACCTTTAAATAATTAACCTGTTTTTTCGTTGTTAGAGCTGTGACTAAATATGTCCAGATATTCTTAATGAAATCTTTTTTTTCAAGAATATATATCTTAGAGCATATGCTACTTTTACGTGAAAAAATCTAATCCATACGTAACATGTAAAGTCCATTTAAAATAGAATACCTATTGGGACTAATTTATTTTTGCCAAAAATCTTTTATTTTGTAATATAACGGCATCTTAAGTATTAACAAAAGGTTGGAAATAAAACAAGGCGTTGCAGTTAAAGTGAGTAGTTTGATGAAAGAGGCACAGTTAAACAAGTCATGAATCCTGAAATCATTTGGTAAAACCACAGGGCACTCAACTCTGTCTTTCCCCAGGTGGTTTAGGGAGCAAACTATCAAGAGAATGTTTTACGTGCTGATCATTCTAAAATTACAGCATGCAAAGCACTGGCCAAATAACTAGCATGTACAAAGCCAATAAGAGTAAAATACTGTCCCAAAAGTTAAGTGCCCCCATTCTATTGTGGAAATACTTGTGTGTACTCATGTGGGCTCATGCACGTGCACACACACACATACATTTTATATTCATGATGACAACATGAAAGCAAGTATATTTTCAAAAACCTATTCTCCTCATTGCAAGTATTAACAAAATGTTAGAAATAAAACAAGGCGAGTTACTGGGTGCAGCACACCATCATGGCACATGTATACATATGCAACAAACCTGCACGTTGTGCACATGTACCCTAAAACTTAAAGTACAATAATAATAATAATAATAAACAAGGCGTTGCAGTTAAAGTAAGTAGTTTGATGAAGGAGGCGCAGTTAAATAAGTCATGAATCCTGAAATCATTTGGTAAAACCACAGAGCACTCAACTCTTAGCAGGTGGGGTATACAACTTGTATTAAAAGTAACTGGCTCTTTTATTTTAGAAAACACCTTAGTGGATCTTTTTACTTTAGTATAGTATGCTCCCTTTTGCCCATCTCCCTACTGGGAATAGGATGGGAATGTTTTTCACATACCCCCAAAATTCAATGCTTAAATAATGAATGAACTCGATGTTTCATTTTTTCCATGACTAGTATAAAACACAAGGCTTTAAGGGTGAAGGAGAGAGATAATTGGGGTTTGGAGGGAGGATCTGTGGAGAGTGAATCAGACTCTCAGCTGCTTGACAGTATATTGGGCTCAAGTTGGTACACAGCAAGTGCGAAATGTATGATGACAGAGACGACTAAGGAACCCTTAAGAATGGCCATGGCCATGTCTCCTATTTCCTTTCCTGGCTGTGCTTTTCTGAGATGTTTCCCTATTTATCTTAAACTTTAAGGGAAGCATGTTAAATACAGTAATCATGACTCTCTCGTGTTTTGCAAAATTATGGAAATAGCACCTGGCATGTGCTGAAGTAGTGAAGAGAGCATACAGCAGCTGCAGGATTTAAGGAGGATGGATAAGGCATAGGTGACAGTGGAGAAGAAAGCTGCTGTACATTCAAAACAGCAGCAGATATGAGCTATTTCCTAAAATACCAATATGAGTTTACACTCGAATTGGGGCTGCTAAGGGCTGGTAACACGTGGCATGAGCTCCATGTGAGCTAACACATGTAGAGGAGGTAGCAGAACATCATTCCAAAATTGCAGAGAAGGCAGCGTGCTTCTTGTAATATGTGGAATGAAGGCTTACATTTTTTTAATGGGAGGGGTTATCGACATGTGGGATCTTAAAATATATGTTCCCTGATAAGGTATGTAATAAAAGTACAAAGTGCACTAAGGCAGTGGGAAGAACACAGATGTTTTAGAAGCAACTAGATCAGCAGTTATATCTTACTTTCATTTATAAGCCATGTGGTATTGGGAAGGGAATGACCCTCTCTGGGACAAGCTTCTCACCCATTAACTAAGATTAATAAGGCTAACTTCATTGGATAGATGTGTACAACAAACGCGTTTAAAGCACCTGGCATAGCATAGGCACTAAATAAATCTCAGTCCCTTTCCTAATTGTCCTATCCATCCTACTTTCCAATAAGGAAGTTAGGAGACAGCAGTATTGCTTACAATTAGAAATAAAAAAGGTTTTTTTTGTAAAAAAAAAAAGTAGGCTTTGCATTGGGCCTTGAAAAATATGTGTGTAAATGTATTTTCTTATATGGATTTATTGAGAAAATATAGTATAATTACAAGAGAATTGAATATTATATATGTGGATGTCCTTCAATGCAGTAAGTGTTCATAGAAGAGACAGCTAGAATAGAGGTAGAAAATGTGTGGTAGGCAGGGTTTTGGTCTCCATAATCTTTGCCCACTGATAGCACGCCTTGAATATATTAACTTCTACAGCAAGAAAGAGAAAGGCAGGGCTCACGTCTGTAATCCCAGCATTTTGGGAGGACGAGATGCGCGGATCATGAGGTCAAGAGATCGAGATCATCCTGGCGAACATGGGAAACCCCGTCTCTCCTAAAAATACAGAAATTAGCTGGGCGTGTTGGCGCGTGCTTGTAGTCCCAACAACTCGGGAGGCTGAGGCAGGAGAATCACTTGAACCCAAGAGGCGGAGGTTGCAGTGAGCTGAGATTGCACCACTGCACTCCAGCTTGGCGATGGAGGGAGACACCGTCAAAAACAAACAAACAAACAACAACAACAACAACAACAAAACCGAGAAAGAGAAAGGCAGAAGTTACTCAGAGATGTGATGTGAGAAGGACTTTACCTATTATTACTGGCTATGAAGAAGAAGAGGGCTATGAAGTTGGAAGAGGGCTATGAGCCAAGAAAACATGTGACATCTAGAAGCTAGAAAATCTCTCAGCTTCCAGCTAGCCAGAAATTCAGTGCCTTAGTCCTACAACTACAGGGAACTAAATTTTGCCACAGTCTATTCACAATAGCAAAGACTTGGAACCAACCCAAATGTCCAACAATGATAGACTGGATTAAGAAAATGTAGCACATATACACCATGGAATACTATGCAGCCATAAAAAATGAGTTCATGTCCTTTGTAGGGACATCGATGAAGCTGGAAAGCATCATTCTCAGCAAACTATCGCAAGGACAAAAAAACCAAACACCGCATGTTCTCACTCACAGGTGGGGATTGAACAATGAGAACACATGGACACAGGAAGGGGAACATCACACACCGGGGCCTGTTGTGGGGTGGGGGGAGTGGGGAGGGATAGCATTAGGAGATATATCTAATGTTAAATGACGAGTTAATGGGTACAGCACACCAACATGGCACATATATGCATATGTAACAAACCTGCACGTTGTGCACATGTACCCTAAAACTTAAAGTATAATAAAAAAAAGAAAAAATAAAAAAATAAAAATAAAAATAAATAAATAAATAAAGTAAAATAAAAAGAAGAAAGAAATGAAGCTTATTGCAATCTTGAGTTTAGTCTGCTTAGACCAGTACAGAACTTCTGACATCCACAAACGTAACGGACTGCTTTTGTAAGCAAACAAGTTTGTGACATTTCATTAAGACAACAATAGAAAACTAATACCAGCATTGAATGGCTGTTTCCCAGAGCTGGTAGAGGTGAGAGAATCATTATGTTGCACTAGAGTGTCCTTTGATCTCCTCTCCCCTTACAAATATTTATTAAGAAACACTCAGATAATATTTTATGAGGGCCTCTAGGGAAGAATAAAGCAAATTCAAGTGACAATTTCTCATTAAATCGTTGGTAACAACATAGTATTCATTAAATGGCATAGGGTAAGACCACAAAATACCTCAGGTATAACAGGACATACTAAACACAAATGTCAAGAAGCTGATATTGTACAGAAAAACTAAGAATATAGCAGGATTCATTAAGGAAATCTCTCTGCAAAATTATGAGTTTGAGTTTATTTTTTTTTCCTCAGTAGAAACTGGCCTCTCTGTTTTGATAATAAAGGGGGAAATTGTTTGGTTTCTATTAAAAATCCCACAGAACGTTTACTATCATGTTGCCCTGGTGTTCTGAGTGACACAGATATTATTAGCAGACATATTTAATTTTTAAAACCAAATATTTATAATTATTATATTAGATCGGTGAGATCTTCGGAAATATTACATCTTGATAAGTGTTCATTGGTTTTCTAAGAATAAAACTTTCCTAGCCAATTCTCTGCTATTATTTATATTAATGTGTTTCTAACTATTCTAAAATAATCTGAGGATGAGTTATGAGATTTAATCTTGGAAGTCAAAAATGTGAGCTAATAAATAAAAACCCTAACAATTCATAGTCACTAGAGGGGTTTTAATTCATTTCCTCCCTTTAGTATAAGTCAGTTTGTGACACAAAACCATTGGATAGGGTTCATCTGAATTGTTGAAATCAAAGATGGGCAAAAGGTCAAATACCATGTATCTTCTCCAATGTACGTCTTTTCAGTTAATTAGAAATATTTCTCTTTCTTTTTAATTTTTCTTTTTAACATTAGGTAACAAATGACCACTAAATTTTCCTCTATCTTCCAGAATAATAACCAGATTCTAACATTATGTGAGTGATCATAGAGATAGAACTTGGTGCAAGCTGTAGCAAGGACACAGTGGGTGATCGTGGAATTAGCGTAGTAAAATTTCATTCTTTAACTACTTTCTCTAGTTGCCAGAGATTGCTTTCCTCTCTGAGTTCTCTGACACACTTCTATCTTATTCTCATCCCTCTTTATGTTTACATATGATTGTAAACATTGCCTAAAGAAGGACGTTTTAGAAATGTGTGCCTTTACTCCCTTTTCTTTCCTTCCAGTCCAGTTCAAGTCTGACTCTTTCACTCCTATTACCATTTCATTGGTTTGTGATTTTGCTTTTGTGTTGTAAAATAAAATAAAGTAAATAACACCTCTCAGGTTTCAATCACATGGTCTCAGATTCTATTATTTGTCAAAGTTGTCTTTCTGAAATTCAAATCTATGATGCTATTACTGAAAACAAAACAACCTCATTTCATTTCAAATTAAATTCTAACAGCGTAGTATACAAAGATAATTGTAATCTTTATATTTTCTGTCTCTTTGGTCTAATTTCCAATTAGCTTCTAAATCCATGTCCTTTTAGATGTAGTCACATCAAATAAGACCTTTTCTCTAAGATCTGGAACAAGACAAGGATGCCTTCTTTCACTGCTTTTATTGAACATAATATTAGAAGTCCTGGCCAGTGCAATTAAGTGAGATCAATAAATAAAGGGCATTCAAATTGGAAAATAAAAGTCAAAATACCCTTGTTTTCAGATTTCATGACCTTAGACAGAAAAACCTGACAACTCCACCAAAAAAAAAAAATAAAATAAAATCTGTTAGAACTGCAGGATGGAAAAATAACATACAAAAATTAGTAATATTTATAAATGCCAGTAGTGAAAAATCTGAAAATGAAATCAAGAAAGCAATCCCATTTACAGTAGCTGCAAAGAATATAAAATACCTAGGAATCAATTTAACCCCAAAATGAAATATCTATGCAACAATGACTATAAAACATCAATTGATTTGCTTTCAATTGATGAAAGAAATGGAAGAGAATACAAAAAAATGCAAAGCTATTCCATGCTCATAAATTGAAATAATTAATGTTGTTAAAATGACAATACTATCCAAAGCAACATATACATTCAATGCAATCCCTATAAAAATACCAATGGCATTCTTCACAGAGATATAAAAAAAGTCTAAAATTGATATAGAACCAAAAAAGACCCAGAATAGCCAAAGCTGTCCTGAGCAAAAAGAACAAAGCTGGAGGTATCACACTACCTGAGTTTAAAATTTATTACAAAGCAAAAATAACAAAATCAGCATGATACTGACATAAAAACAGACACAAAGGTCAATTAAACTGAACAGAGAACCCAGAAATAAACCCTCACATTTACAGCCTACTCATTTTCAGCAAAGGCAACAAGAATACAAATTGGAAAAAGTAGTCTCTTCAATAAATGGTGCTGGAAAAACTGAATAACTATATGCAAAATAATAAAACTAGACCGTCTCTCACCATACACAAAAATCTAATCAAAATAGATTAGAGACTTGAATCTAAGACCTGAATCTATGAAACTACTATAAGAAAACATTGGGGAAATGTTCCTGGATATTGGTCTGTGCAAAGATTTTTTAATGTAAGTCCTCAGAAACATAGGCAATCAAAGCAAAAATAGACAAATTACATCAAGTTAAGAAACTTCTCCACAGGAAAGGAAACAAGAAAGTGAAAAGACAACCCACGAATGGGAAAAAATATTTTCAATCTATCCATCTGACAGGGGGTTGATAATGAAAATATATAAGGAGCTCAAAAAACTCAATAGCAAAAAATAAATAAATTAAACAATGGGCAAAATTCCTGAATAGATATTTCTCAAAAGAAGGCAAAGAAATGTCCAAAAGAGATGTGAAAGAAAAGCTCAACATCACTAACCCTCAGAGAAGCACACATCAAAACCACAATTAGATGTTATCTCCATCCCAGTTAAAATAGATTTTATATTAAAAAAAACCACATGTAATCAGATGCTGGTGAGGCTGTGAAGGAGGAACCCTCATATACTGCTGGTGGGAATATAAAGTAGTTATGGCCACTATGAATAAAAACATTGAGGTTCTTAACAAATGAGAAATAGAACTACCATATGATCCAACAATCTCACTGATGGGTATATATCCAAAAGAAAGCAAATCAGTATGTCATATCACAGAGGTAGATACACTCTCATGTTTATTGCCGCACTATTCAAAACAGGCATAATACAGAATAAACCTAAGTGTCTATCATCAGATGAATAGATGAAGAAAATGTGGAATATATACACAATGGAATATTATTCAGCCATAAAAAGAATAAAATCCTGTCATTTGAAACAACAAGAATAGAACTGGATGTCATTAAGTATAATAAGCTATGAACAGAAGGACAGATATCATATGTTTGCCCACATAGGTGGGAGCTAAAAGTGTGGATCTCATGAAGATAGAGTGTAGACTGGTGGTGTCCACAGTCTAGAAAGGCTAGCGGACAGAAGGAAGAAAAGAAGTTGATTATTGGGTAAAATTATACCGTTTAGTTAGTAGGGAGACAATACCTTACAATAATCGATTGTACATTTCACAGTAGCTAGAGAAGAAAAATTTCAATGTTTCTACCATAAAGAAAATGCAAATATTTAAGGTGATGAATATCTCAAGGACACTGTTTTCATCTTTACAAATTATTCAAATGTATCAAATTATCATATCTACCCTGAAACTATGTGCATTTGTTACGCCTCAATAAAAATTATAAAGAGAAAATTAATAAACAGGTTAATCTGGGTAATTTCCTTGAGTGAATCTAATGGAGTTCATTCAAACTGCATATCTTAATAATTTCAGTATCGAGTGACTTAGCATGAAAATCTGCCAAAGCATGTCTTTGTTATTCAAACAATTCTTGTCATACTTGATGCTGGATTAGCAGTTTTATGAAACCATTTCTTCATTAGCTTTCTGGGAATTCTTCATTATTGTTTTGGGAATTCTTCATTAGCGTTTCATTTCTTCATTAGCCTTCTGGGAATTTTTATTTATAGTTTATCCATTAGTGTTCTGGGAATTCTTACCTAGTCTAATAGTATGGTCATATTTCTACGAATTTCATACAATCCTCTGGAGTATATAGTCTCTCTCTCTCTCTCTCTCTCTCTCTCTCTCTATATATATATATATATATATATATACTCTCTATATATATACTCTCTCTATATCTATATATCTATAGATCTATATATTTGTATATATATCTATATATGTATATCTCTATATATCTATAAATCTATATATCTCTCTCTGTCTCTCTCTCTATATATATACATATATATATAGAGAGAGAGAGATTGGGTCTCTGTCTATTGTCCAGGATGGAACTCAGTGGCATGATCTCAGCTCACTGCAACCTCCGCCTCTGGGTTGAAGCGATTCTCCTGCCTCAGCCTCCCGAGTAGTTGGGATTACAGGCACCCGCCACCACGCCTGGCTAATTTTTGTATTTTTAGTAGAGACGGGGTTTCACCATGTTGGCCAAGCTGGTCTCGAATTCCAGACCTCAGGTGATGTGCCCGCCTCAGCCTCCCAAAGCGCTGGGATTACAGGCATGAGCCACCACACCCGGCCTGGAACATATATTAATAAGACATCCATACAAATTAACTCAAAGCTGATTTAGCATTACTCATTATTTGACAATCCTTCCCATATAATTTATTATGTCAAATACACCCAATTAGTTTAATCTCTCTTTTTAATATGTAAGAAGAGATACCCTTTTGAAATGTTTTAAAGTCCTATTTGGAAAATGTCAAAGTTAATTCAAGGTCAAGAAAAATACTAAATTTAGAATTTGATTTAGGGACATTTGTAAAAAAAAAATCAAGTGTTTAAAACACATGATCAAAATAGGATTGCAGGTCATTGTGAAAGATGATCATTTATTTAACGAGAGTGATAATTAAAAAGACTTCAAGGGCAAATGCAGGAAGTTACATATTTTTAGAATAATATCACTCTTTTAATAGAAAAGACTCAGTTTTCTTAGGTGATCAAAAGCTTAATAAAGACCACATTAAACACAAGAAATTATCTTAGTAAAACACAGAATCTTTGTTTGCTTTGCCAATTAGCTAAATAATTTTTTAAAATTACAATCTTCTGTCAAGAGTTGTAGACCAGTTCTCCATGATATTCTTGTTATTTTAACCGAGTGAACCAAATTCTAGTTATGCATGAGTGTACTTTTGATATTAATGTTTATTTTAAAAAAAACACTTAAAAATGCACAATCTCCTTGATTTATGATGGGGTTATATCTCAATAAGCCCGTCATTGTTTGAACATATTATAAGTCAAAAAGGCGTTTAATGCTGGCAACACAGCAGACAGTCTCTGACTTATGATGGTTCAACTTACGATTTTTCCGTTCTATGATGGTGTGAAAACGATACGCATTCAGCAAGAGCTGTTATCATAAGTCAAAAGGAGCTCCTCGACTTACAATGGGATTATGTCTCAGTAAACCTATCATAAAGTCAGAAAATTATTCAAACCATTGTAAATTGAGAACCATCTGTAATTCCCTTGTATTCTTAGCCAGCTTGACCGCACATAAAATTTGTCACAAGATTCATATTCTACAAACTTATAGCTTTTTTGTATTTATAGTATTTAGTCCTATACTATTTCTCTCCTCATTTTGGAACAAGGAATTACTCTATTTTAGAAAAAAACTATTCTCTTTTACCCTTGATAAATAAAATGAAATATGCTTATGTTTTATAACTTCTCTGTATCAACAGCATATCTTACCCTCTTCGTATATTTACATGTAGACTCGTCTCCCTTATTATTTCTAGTAATTTTAATAATATGTATTAATAAGAATTTGTAACCCTTAGGTGACCTTAATTCTCAGTGAACAATAGGAAGTAAGCAATTATGAACTGTTTGTTACACCACCAATCTGGCAAATCTATGAATTACTTCTAGAAGCATCTGCTGCTTTCTCATAGTACAATTGCCAATGTGACACAGAACATGTTTACTAACAGTCCCAAATATCTTTAGTTTCTCTGTAATAAGAAATAATAAGAGGCAAAAAAATTTCCCTGTCTTCTTAGGTGTTTGTGTGTGTGAGTGTGTGTGTGTGTGGGTGAGTGGGTGGGTGGGTGGGTGTGCGCATGCCTGCATGCTATTTTGTTCTTGTTTTGGTTTGTTTTGCTATGCCTGGAAATTGTTTTTCATATAGATTTTCCTCAGCCTCAGCTTTGTATTCTTGGCAAAAATAAAGTTAAAATATTCTGGAAGAGAAACAACATGTTTCAAATAGAAATTTTATTTTACTTACATCTACTTAACTTACTTGTTTTTATTAGATTTGGGTTACTCGTGAGGATGAGACATTAAACAGCTAGCAACCATCTTATATTATTTTTGCTGACAATTTTTTTTAATATAGAGATAACATAAGCTTATTTTGCCAATAAATCTAAGGAAAATTCATGCATCTGCATTATATTTAATGTTGACAACCCTGAAATATGTCAGTTTTAGTCAAACCAACAATATTCTTCTTTACCAAACATTACTGAAATCACATAAACTTGAAAAGCATTTGGGTTGGTACTTATTTATCTGAAAAAATAATTTATATAAGCACTTAGTCTTCTTTAAACAAATAAGAGTACTTTTATAATTTAATATTTCTAATATCATAAGACAAAAAATATTTATAGATACACATAACATACACAAACATACATAAACATACAGACAGAAATAGATCTTATAGCATTTTATTCTAAAGTTTTAGTCATCATCCAGGTACAGTAATACTGTACTCAGTGTTGAACACTGGACTCAGAGTGAATAATGATTTTGCCTTATGGTCAGAGACTGGTTACTCTTGTTTAGTTTTGTTGTGTTGAAGATTTAATGCCAGATCTATCAGTTTGTTAGTTTGTTTTGTTTCCGAGAAAGAGTTTTGCAACATAGCAAAGATCATGACAACAAGGAAGAGGTGGACAGAGTTAGCAGGGTATATAGTCAGCAGGGAGATCATAACAGGGATTTCAGTTAACTGGAAGATCCTCATGTGAGAAATAGAATTGAATATAGAAACCAGAGAGGACAATTTTTTTAAATTGCATATATTTTATTCATTGATATGGTTGTGGATATAATACCAAGGGATTCTTTGGTGCCCACAATTTGTCCTTTCTCCTTTTCCCCTCACTGCCATTTTGCTTGATTTTTTATACTTTTAACTTTTAAGTTCAAAGGTACATGTGCATGTTTGTTACATAGATAAACTTGTGTCATGGGGATTTGTTGTACAGATTATTTCATCACCCAGGTATTAAGCCTAGTACACATTAGTTATTTTTCCTCATCCTCTTTCTCTTTCCACTCTCCACCCTCCGATAGACCCCAGTGAGTGTCGTTTCTCTCTATGTGTTCTCATCATTTAGCTCCCACTCATATGTGAGAACATGTGATATTTGGTTTTCTGTTCCTCTTTTAGTTTGCTAAGGATAATGGCCTCCAGCTTCATCCATTTCCCTGCAAAGGACATAATTTTTTTATGGCTGCATAGTATTCCGTGGTGTATATGTACCACATTTTCTTTATCCAGCCTATTATTGATGAGCATTTAGGTTGATTCCATTTCTTTGCTATTGTGAATAGTTCTGCAATGAACATACATGGGCATGCATCTTTATAACAGAATGATTTACATTCCTTTGGGTATATAACCAGTAATGGGATTTCCAGGTTTAATGACCAAGGCAATCATAAACAAAAAACAAAGCTGAAGGCATCAGGGTACCCAACTTCAAACTATACTACAGGGCCACTGTAACCAAAACAGCACGGTGCTGGTAAAAAAACAGACAGACTGGGGGAACACAATAGAGAACCCAGAAATAAGACCGCACACCTACAACTATCTGATCATTGACAAACCTGACAAAAGCAAGCAACAAGGAAAGGATTTCCTATTCAATAAATGGTGCTGTGATAACTGACTAGCTGTATGAGGAAGACTGAAACTGGACCCCCTCATTACACCATATTAACTTAAGATTGATTCAAGACTTAAAGGTAAAACCCAAAACTATAAAAACCCTGGAAGACAGCTTATGCAATACTATTCAGGGCACAGGCACAGGCAAAGACTTCATGATGAAGGTACCAAAAGCAATTTCAACAAAAACAAAAATTGACAAATGTAATCTAATTAAACTGAAAAGCTTCTGCACAGTAACAGAAACTATCATTAAAGTGAGCAGACAACCTACAGAATGGGAGAAAATTTTTGCAAGCTATGTGTCTGATGAAGGTCTAATATCCAGCATCTATAAGAACTTAAACAAATGTACAAGAAAAAAAAAACGACCACATAAAAAGTGGGGAAAGTACACTGGTAGACCCTTTTCAAAAGAATATATGCATTCCGTCAACAAGCATATAAAAAAAGGTTCAAGGCTGGGCGCGGGCTCACGCCTGTAATCCCAGCACTTTGGGAGGCAGAGATGGGTGGATCACGAGGTCAGGAGATCAAGACCATCCTGGCTAACACAGTGAAACCCCCTCTCTAGTAACAATACAAAAATTAGCCTGGCATGGTGGCGGGCGCCTGTAGTCCCAGCTACTCGGGAGGCTGAGGCAGGAGAGTGGCGTGAACCCGGGAGGTGGAGCTTGCAGTGAGCCGAGATCGTGCCCCTGCACTCCAGCCTGGGGGACAGAGCGAAACTCCATCTCAAAAAAAAAAAAAAAAAAAAAAAAAAAAAAAAAAATTGAATTGCAAATCAAAACCACAATGAGATGCCATCACACACCAGTCAGAATGGCGATTATTAAAAGATAAAAAACAGATGTTAGTGAGGTTGTGGAGACACAGAAACACTTATACACTGTTGTCGGGAGTGTAAATTAGTTAAACCATTGCGGAAAGTGGGTGGTAATTCCTCAAAGACCAAGATACAATTTCTTATAAATATTTTTCTAAAAATGTTCCAAGCATTTATTAGACAGATTTAAACGTTGGAACGTTTTAGACTCGACTTGATCTCCCACCAAATAAATATTAATTTTTCTCTCTGAAAGATTTGTTGATTATTGTCCCAGAAGGTAAGGCTCTGGGGGCTTTCTCTAGTGAGAAAATAGTCCCAGCCAAAGGGATTGGGTCCACCAGATGGCTGGTGTAAAAGTGGACAATTGTTTTTCTGGTGGCTTAGTTGTTTATAATAAAGGCAAACATCTCATGACACACTGTTCTTTATTTTGGGGCCCCTTGATTTGAGTATAAAATATGTTCAGAAAAGTCTCGTGGTCTGTGTAGCAGCTGTAGCTATCAAGACTTGTACCCGTTTGCCTTTTGTAAAGAGCTTCTTCACTACCGCCACAGTAACTGTAAGTTATCTTTGGTATCTTTTCTCTAGAAAAGAGTAAGTTCTGGGTCTACAGTTCTTATACATAAAATTGACTACTGTTCCAGGTGGCGGAGATATAGAACCTTTTGATTAAGATGAATGCATGATGCCTTGTCTTCTAGTAACCTTATTTACCTACTGAACCCTGAGTCTCAGTCAGACATCTGATGCCGCCCTACAGGAACCAGTTTTGTTTCTGTCGTGACATTAGAACTATCCCTAGATTAAACATGCTTGAAACACAAATGTATAGAGCTCAAATCTGAGAGAAAAGTCGCCCACACCATCCAGGTGCTGCAAGAGAGCAATGGGCATGACGGGCCTCTTGGATACCATTGCTGACGCACTGGGCAGTCCTGGTGATTGCTGCAGGTCTACTTTAGATCCCACACCTTATGTCAACATTTTTAAAGAAAAACTTTAGAAAAATTAAATTTAGCAGAATTTATTTGAGCAAAAAAAAATTCATAAAGTAGGCAGTATCCTGTACCAGTAGAGGTTCACAGCATTCCATATAGCATTTTGAGCAGAAATCATTTATAGATAGAAAAAGGAAGTAACACAGAAACAGCTTGATTTGATACAGCTCAGTATTTGCTTTATTTGAGCATGATGTGATTGTGCATTTGCCTTACATGGACACTGTCTGATCAGCTGCCAGTCTGTGATTGGCTAAAGCTTGGCTGCTGTGGTCATCTGAGATTCAACTATCTGTTAACCAGAATATCTTCTTAAGTAGTAGTTTGCTTACATACTAACTTAGGGTGGAGTTTACTACATATGGATGCAGATTTAGACCAAATTTAATTTAACTCAACACTGCTTAACACAAAGCAAAAAAAAAAAAAGGGAGGGGCAATATTGAATGTGTTGAATATAATAATCTGGCATTATTTTCCTTGAACATGTAAATACATATTTTAAATCTAATCCTAAAGTCTATGGCTAATTGTTTTCATTTTATTTTCTTTTAATTTACTTTTTGGTTTTGTTCAATGAAAGATCCAATCACATGTTTTATTTCTGCTTTTTTGTAATTTAGGTGTGCCATTTCCATGTTTCAAGTGTCAATCATACAATATAGTGCTCAAGTGTAACTTCAGTCATGGTGGATGATAAGAAACAACACTGCAAAAAAAAATCAAATAAAATAAGTGAAGTGTTACATACACCTTCAATGTTAATATGAAGATAACCCACTCCTTACCATCTTGAAATTTAGAATATCTCAAATCTTCTCCAAAAATACTCACTTTTGAATGTTTCTGTTTCAGAGTTAACTGAAAAAATAGTAGTATTATTCAGAATAGAATATAAATTATTGATTATCTCATAATTTTAATCTCAGCAGTATAAAATGGCTGCAGTTCAACTACAGTTGTAAGCATGCACAAGTAAAAACACTATATTTTAAAGCAGCTTATAGTTTTTTTTATATGAATATATTAATAAATGAAAGTTACTGCAACAATGTTAAGTCTACATATGCATTGCATGTCTGAGTCAAACCATTCGAAAATCCAGCAAATAAAAATTTTAAATATACAAAAAAAAATGGCCTGGAATGTTGACTAATACACACTATGATAAACATGGATAAAATCAAAATTAAAATGTGCATATAATTTTAATATTATTTTAAAATTCAATTGTTATGAAAGGTGAATTTCCAGAGTAATATATTGTTAATGTTTAAGCTTTTTAAACTAAAGAATGTATATATGTAAAAAATTCTAATAGGCAGTTATAGAAGATGGTCTATGCGATATTTCCCCTTATGACTTAACTGTAGTCAAAACTGGGAACTTTTAGGCATGAAGTCCTTGCACATGCCTATGTCCTGAATGGTATTAGCTAGGTTTTCTTCTAGGGTTTTTATGATTTTGGTCTAACATTTAAGTCTTTCATCCATCTTGAATTAATTTTTGTATTAGGTGTTAGGAAGGGATCCAGTTTCAGCTTTCTACATATGGCTATCCAGTTTTCCCAGCACTCATTTATTAAATAGAGAATGCTTTCCCCATTTCTTGTTTTTGTCATGTTTATCAAAGATCAGATGGTTGTAGATATGCGGCATTATTTCTGAGGGCTCTGTTCTGTTCCATTGGTCTATAGCTCTGTTTTGGTACCAGTACCATGCTGTTTTGGTTACTGTAGCCTTGTAGCATAGTTTGAAGTCAGGTAGCGTGATGCCTCCAGCTTTGTTCTTTTGGCTTAGGATTGACTTGGTGATGCGGGCTCTTTTTTGGTTCCATATGAACTTTAAAGTAGTTTTTCCCAATTCTGTGAAGAATTGGTCATTGGTAGCTTGATGGGGATGGCATTGAATCTATAAATTACCTTGGGCAGTATGGCCATTTTCACAATATTGATTCTTCCTACCCATGAGCATGGAATGTTCTTCTATTTGTTTGTATCCTTTTTTATTTCATTGAGCAGTGGTTTGTAGTTCTCCTTGAAGAGGTCGTTCACATCCCTTGTAAGTTGGATTCCTAGATATTTTATTCTCTTTGAAGCAATTGTGAATGGGAGTTCACTCATGATTTGGCTTTCTGTTTGTCTGTTCATGTCTGAAACACCAAAAACAATGGCAACAAAAGCCAAAATTGACAAATGGGATCTAATTAAACTAAAGAGCTTCTGCACAGCAAAAGAAACTACCATCAATCAGAGTGAACAGGCAACCTACAGAATGGGAGAAAATTTTTGCAATCTAGTCATCTGACAAAGGGCTAAAATCCAGAATCTACAATGAACTCAAACAAATTTACAAGAAAAAAACAAACAACCCCATCAAAAAGTGGGCAAAGGATATGAACAGACACTTCTCAAAAGAAGACATTTATGCAGCCAACAGACACATGAAAAAACGCTCATCATCACTGGACATCAGAGAAATGCAAATCCAAACCGCAATGAGATACCATCTCACAGCAGTTAGAATGGCGATCATTAAAAAGTCAGGAAACAACAGGTGCTGGAGAGGATGTGGAGAAATAGGAACACTTTTACACTGTTGGTGGGACTGTAAACTAGTTCAACCATTGTGGAAGTCAGTGTGGCGATTCCTCAGGGATCTAGAACTAGAAATACCATTTGACCCAGCCATCCCATTACTGGGTATATACCCAAAGGATTATAAATCATGCTGCTATAAAGACACATGCACAAGTATGTTTATTGTGGCACTATTCACAACAGCAAAGACTTGGAACCAACCCAAATGTCCAACAATGATAGACTGGATTAAGAAAATGTGGCACATATACACCATGGAATACTATGCAGCCATAAAAAAATGATGAGTTCATGTCCTTTGTAGGGACATGGATGAAGCTGGAAACCATCATTCTCAGCAAACTATCTCAAGGACAAAAAACCAAACACCACATGTTCTCACTCATAGGTGAGAATGGAACAATGAGAACACATGGACACAGGAAGGGGAACATCACACACTGGGGCCTGTTGTGGGGTAGGGGGAGGCAGGACGAATAGCATTAGGAGATATACCTAATGTTAAATGACGAGTTAATGGGTGCAGCACACCAGCATGGCACATGTATACATATGTAACTAACCTGCACGTTGTGCACATGTACCCTAAAACTTAAAGTATATATATATATAAAAAAAAAAAACTGGGAACTTGCAAATATAGTAAATGGTAAGTTAAATACAGGTTTATTTTTTATAATTTAGCTTTAAGTTTTTTTAGTAAATTCCATTTGCTTATGTGTTTGGTAAGTCAAATTCTAATGCAAAATGTATTTTGAAAAATATATTATTTTTAGATATCAGTTTTTATATTTTTAAAATACAAATATGAGTCCAGATTTTAAAAAGGTGATAGGAATAAGGCTTAGATTCAAAGAGAGGGACTATTTCCAAGGTTCTGAAAGTGAATAACACATAGAATCAAAATGGGGATTATCAAAGAGAATGATAGATTCAGGGGTAAATATTTCAAAGTGAATCTTCAAACAAAGGCCAAGTAGTTGAAGACTGAATTCTGCAGTTAACAAAGGATTACATCAAACTGCTTGCCTCATAGAACTTCCCCAATTTACACAATCATATTTCTTTAATTGTTATCTAATTCTCTTCTGGCACATATGGGATAATAATAAACCTCTCTTATCTTCTATATTGCTTTATCCAATTTACTTACTAAAGTTTTATATTCGGTTCCTATTTTAGTTGAGTTGTCTGAGACTTTTGCTTCTGTTCATGTTAAAGAGACAATGACCAGAATCACCCTTATACAGTAATTATAAACATAAAACTGGATTTTTTAGTTTTTTTAATTTTTGTGCATACATGATAAGGTTAGGTTTTGTGTCCCCACCCAAATCTCATCTTGAATTGTAATCCCCAGTTGTTGAGGGAGAGACCTGGTGGGAGGTGACTGATTCATGGAGCAGTTTCTCCCATGCTGTTCTCATGATATTGAGTGACTTCTCACAAGATCTGATGGTTCTATAAGGGGATCTTCCCAATTCGCTTCACACACACACTCACTCTCGCCTGCTGCCATGTAAGACATGCTTGCTTCCCCTTCCACCATAATTGTGAGTTTCCTGAGGCCTCATCAGCCATAAGGAACTGTGAGTCAATTAAACTTCTTTTCCCTATAAATTACCCAGTTTATGGCAATTCTTTGTAGCAGTGAGAGAACTAATACTTACATAATAGTTGTACATATTTATAGGTAATGTGATATCTTGATGCAGGCATACAATATGATCAAATCTGGGTAACCGGGATATTCATCAGTTCAAAACAGGATAAATTATGCAACACAACTGTTTTCACACATTGAACAAAAGTCAGTGAAGTTCTGCGATTTCTGTGAGAAGAAAATCAAGGTGGGCTTAAAAAATATTCGTTTTCTATCTGGAGGAATTTTTTTAGGATAGAATGAAAATGTCCTACAGGATCTTTTTGAATTGAAGACACAGATATCAGTGTTCCAGGAGGCTAGGCAACTGGAAACTGAACAATCAAGAGTAGGAATCTACACAGAAAAAGAGACCCAGGAATGTGCATTGGCTTCATCTTTCGTGTTCACTGAATACAGGCATAACTCATTTTATTGTGCTTAATTTTACCGTGCTTTGCAGATGTGTCTTTTTTTTTCTTTAACAAACTGAAACATTGCACAATCCTGCAATAAGCAAGTCTACTGGTGCCATTTTTCCAAAATCAAGTATTACCTTCATGTTTCTGTGTCACATTTTGATTATCTATGCAATATTTCATTTTTGTTTTCATTATTGTTATATCTGTTATGGTAGTAGATGATTAGTAATCTCTGACGTTACTATTGTAATTGTTTTGGGGCATCACAAACCATGCCCATATGAGATGGCAAACTTCATTCATAAATGTTGTGTGTGTTCTGACTGCTCCACCAACCAGCCAATATAAGGCTATTTAGCATACAGTGAAAAGTTGTTGTTGAGTGTTGCTGTCTTCATCAATGAGCTTAGCTAGATCTTCTGGATAACTTTCTACAACATGTACTTTAGGACTTGCTGCTTCATTGGGCCAGGCACGATGGCTCACGCCTGTAATCCCAGCACTTTGAGAGCCCCAGTTGGGTGGATCACCTGAGGTCAGTAGTTCAAGACCAGCCTGACCAACATGGTGAAGCCCCATCTCTGCTAAAAATACAAAAATTAGCTGGGCATGGTGGTGTGCGCCTGTAATCCCAGCTACTTAGGGGCTGAGGCAGGAGAATCAGTTCAACCTGGCAGGCGGAGGTTGCAGTGAGCTGAGATCATACCATTGCACTGCAGCCTGGGTGAGAGTGAGACTCCATCTCACAACAACAACAACAACAACAACAACAACAACAACAACAAAAATGAAGCTTGCTGCTTCATCTTATATTTTTATGTTATGGAGACAGAGACAGCTTCTTCCCTTCAACTTCAAAAACCAACCTCTGCTGGGTTTCTATGTAGCTTTTTACCCCTCTCAGCCTTCATGCTCTGGATTAAGCTTTGCCTTAAGGGGTTGTTATTGGTTGTTTTGGTCTTCTATCCAGACTAACACTTTTTCCACATCAGCAATTGGGCTGCTTTGCTTCCTTACACAATTTGCTTCCTTCACATACACAATTTGACTAACTATTTTGCACAAGAGATCCAGCATTTGACCTATCTCAGCTTTTGACATTCCTTCCTCTATTAAGCTTAATTATTTTTAGCTTTTTATTTAAAGTGAGAGACATGAGAGAACTCCTTTAGCTTAAACACTTACAGGCCATTGCAGGGAAATTAATTGGCCTATACTTTCAATATTGTTGTGTCTTAAGAAATATGGAGGCAGGAGGAGAGGGCATTTAAAACACTCCATCAACTTAGTTGATAAAGCGGCAACAGATACATAGAGGATTGACCCCAATTTGGAAAGAAGTTCTACTGTGAGTAAAATGCTGTTAAACAGTATCACATACCACAAAGAAATCTTTTGTGAAAGGAAAAGTCAATGGATGTGGCAAATTTTATTTCTGTCTTAATTTAAGTAATTGCCAAAGCCACTCAAACTTCAGCAACCACGACCATAGTCAGTTAGCAGCCATCAACTGCAAGACAAGATTCTTCAGCAACAAAAAGATTATGACTCACTGAAGACTGAAATGATTGTTAACAGTTTTAAGCAATAAAGTATTTTTAATTAAAGTATGCACATTTTTCTTTACACATTTGCTATTGCATACCTAGTAGACTATAGTATAATGTAAACATAACTTTTTATGTACTAGGAAACCAAAAATTTGTGTGACTCACTTTATGGCAATATTTACTTCCTTGCAGTGGTCTGAAACCAAATCTGCAATATTTTTGAGCTACGCTTGTGCAGCCGGCTGAAAGAGAGATATTCTATGAGGCCAGACAACAAATGACCACATTAAATACAAGTAAACAAAGTTCAGATAAGTTTGGAAATTTCTGAGATCTTTCTAACAAGAATAGTAAGTTCTCCCTAATAACATGTGTAATTAAGTGGATACCTCAAAACACCACACCTTAATAATATATCGAAAATCTCCCTAGAAGTAAGGCTACTCTAGAACAAGTTATAGCCCTGGCAATTAGTTAAAAAGACAGCAAAGTTGATAATAAGTTTACAATCTGTTAGAACAAAGCACAGCACTCTACTAAAGGTAGACATCAAAATATAGATTTTCTATATTACAGTGCTCAGCCTCTAATAAAAAATCTCCTGGCATGCCAAGAAGACAGTCTGTTTCAAAGTTCAAAGATATTCAGTCAAAAAAATTACAAGAAGTTATATAGATGAAAAACATAGGATGTATGAGCTTTTTAAACTTCTATCAATATATTCAAAATTTTCAAGGATTAAAAAGTGCAATGGTATTATAGTATTATAGATTGAATTATGTCACCCCAAATTCGTATGTTGAAGCTAGAATTCCCAAGATGACTGTATATGGAGATATGGGCCTTTAAAGAAGTAATTGAAGTTAAATGGGGTTGTAAGAGTGAGACTTTAACTAAATAGGGCTAGTGTCCTCATTAGAGATAGAAACGCTAGAGGTGCACATGTGCAAAGGAAAGGTCCTGTGAGGACATAATAAGAGGACAGCCACCTGCAAACCAGGAAAAATCCTCACCAGAAACCAACTCTGCCAGTAGCTAGATCTTGGGTTCTAGCCTCCAGAACTGTAAGAAAATAAATTTATGTTGGTTAAGCCACCCAGTCTGTAACGGCCCTAGTGGACTACTACAAATGGGTAGAACTATATTGTATAAATTCGGAATATTTGAGGATTTTCCAGATCTCAGTGTTTTACTGACTTCTAACATAATTGCCTGTGGACAAATAACACATTGTTTGTGAATGCAGTCTTTCTGTATGTGTTAAGATTTTTTTTATGCCTAGCATGTAGTCTCTTTTGGTGACTACTGCATAAGCACTTCACAGAAATCTTGTTTTGGAGTTGTATGGAACATGCAGTATATGTTAATTAGCTCAGTTTGATAGCATTGTTTAAGTCTTCTACTTCTTTATTGATTTTCTGTCCACTTATTTCAAATATCAATGAGATAGCAGCACTGGAATACCAAGTAAAATTGTGGATTTGCCTGTTTCTTACCAGCTTGTCAATTTTTGCAGTTTATTTTGAAACTACCTTGTGGGATGTATACACAAATAGGTTGTATAAAGAAGAGCAAATTAAACCAAAAGCAAGTAAAATGAAAGAAATAATAAAGATAAGAGCACATATCAACATAAAAGAGAAGGACAAAGAAAAGAATAACACAAAATACTGATCCTTTGAAAAGGAGTAGGGTAGTGGATCAAGAAAAATGAGAGAAGATACAAATTATTACTATAGGAATAAAATTAAGATACTACAAACATCTAACAGAAAATAAGAAAAAAATTTCCTTTCCTTGAGTGTAGGCTGGACCAATGAATATTAGGGATATCACAACATCATTAAAAAAAAAAACAGAAAACTTCAAATAGATGCTCTGACACTGGGCTCTAGGAAGAATGCAAACACTTATTGTATTTATCTTGTATAATTTAGAGCTTCACAGTTTATCAGTGTAGTGTGTAGTAATGATGAAGAGTAAAACGGTTTAATACAAGCACACTGAAAGATGATTTCCATTGTTCTCCGAATGACCAAAAAAAAATTAGTTTTCTAATTACAAAACACATACCCACTCATCGTAAAATATTAATCCCTAAATGTATGATGAAGAAAGACAAACTGTACTCTTATATAAACCAAAATGGGTTTTAGGACAAGAGCAAAACCAAAATCATTTAAATTTAAAAAATGAAAAACTATCTATTTATTCGTGTAAAAAAGGAACTTAAATATTTTACCTATCTTCCTTTAGCTTTAAGGTCTTATAAATCTTTATTCTCCTCTACTCATTTCTATAGTCACAGCTCTGTATTTTCATAGAGCCAGAAGTCTGAGGTAGAAAAGTAAATTAAAAAAATTTTCAATTTTGAAAAGGAAGAACCAAAACAAATGATATCTCTTTAAACTAGAAATAAAGAGTTGAAATGTTTCACATATAACAGCAGCCAAAACAAAAGTTAAATAAGAATATATCAAACAAAAGATATTTAGGCTATTCATGAAAACTTATTGATGGAAATAAAAGTACTCATAAATAAATGGAGACACAAATCAAGCTATTTACTAGAAAAACTAAATATGGTTAAAAATGCCAATTTTCCCTATATTTATCTATGGTTTTAAAGGAATTGTTTATTGCATATTGTTTTCAAGTAAATTGATGAGCTGTCTCTAAAATTTAAATCTAGGAGCAAAAGTCAAAAATATCCAAGATATTCCCGAGGAAAAAGTGTAAAGAGGGGCAGGATTAAGGAAAATAAGAAGTTCGAGAGGAGGTTAACAAACTATCCTTTGTCTTTAACACAAGAGGTTTGTTTTCCTACCAACATCCATGAACCTGTGGCAGGCGAACTTGTTAGCTTGCAATGACTCTTGCAGTTACTCACAGTTCTTGGCAGTTCTGATTACAAGGATATGAAAGTGACAGATTCATGGCTTTCTGAAAAAGGAAGACAAAGACCTTCCTGCCGGCTGAGTAATGGAATTTCAGAGAAGTCCTCGGAAATATGTAGTGGGCTTATTGCCAAACTGCATGGCCAACCAGGCAACAAATACCCCTCCACTAAGTTGCCTGTTAATGGAAAAGTGCTTGCATACTGAGTATCAGAAAGTGGGAGAAAAACCTGTATGTTGTACTGGTTGTTAGTAATTCTTCTCTGGGTTTGTGTGGGTGAGGGAAAGAGAACAGACAGTAAGGAAGCAAACCAACATAGCAGTAAGTGTATCAGCTGGTGATATGTTTTATACCAAAATAATACATTGTGCTTTTTTTTTTTAAAGGATCAGTGGATGAAATATTGAAAAATGCTTACATGAATTTCTAAGGATTTTAGACTTTGTGCCATGCATAACATACAGAAAAGTTTAACCAGCGGAACGACCAGATTTTTTTTTTAAAAAAAGCAATTCTGCTGGCAATTTTGGGAAGGAACTGGAAGAAAGGAGAGCATTTAGGAGGTTGTTGTTGTAATAAAACGAAAACAAAAGGACACACAGGGTCAGAAGGAACAGATTTGACCTCAATGAAAACTCTGCGGAAAATAGCAAAATATCTTGAAAGGGGTAAACGTGTACAATATTTTCAATTGTATCTTATCATGGATGATATAAAGGATGTAAAGGTAAAGCTATAACTTGAATATGTTGCTATTCTATATGTTGATATGACTTACATGAAGAGTGGAATAAATAGGAAATTGATCTTTCAGTATAACCGTTATTGTTCAATATTACCATTCTAAAAACTAAAATAATACATTAACATATAAATTTGACTGACACCCCTCAAAATCAATTATATCTGTTAACAATATGCTGTAATTCATGCACTTAATTACTCATTTTTTTTTTTGCTTGGCTAAGAGGCTCAGAATCAGAATCAGGCTCAGAATCAAATGTGAGTCTCAACTGTGTCATATGTCATCTTCTCATTTTACATTGCTACATATATTTTTCTTGATCTTTCATTTTATTCTGGTTTACATTTTCTTGGTTCTAAGTTTGTATTTTCTTTTACCTTTTGTCTTTTTTTGGGTGAATTTTTGTAAAGTTTTCTCTTGTTTCTGTTGTACAAAATCTAATGAAGAAACGGCTAATAAGTAAGAATATACTGCAGATATTGCAGGACCAATTATTTTTGTGGATATAACAGATTACAGAAATGAAGAGGTTTCCTGCTGTTAAAACTAAAAAGCCCCACTGATGCAGATTATTTCTTTATTTTTGATCAGAAATATCTTTAGCAGCTGATCCCATTTGGGCTCCAGTATATTTATACTTTTTTTTTTAGTATATTTTCTGAAACTAGCCATATTCATTATGGAGACCTCTTTTACAGCAGCCTGATAGAATTTTCTAGAGTAGATACAAAGAAACAACAGAGACTATAAGACACCTAAGAAGGGGAGAAAATGAGTGATAGGGATGAGGGAAGGGAAATCAACTCGTTAATGGAAACCGACTGCTTCCAAAGTGCTGCCCAGAGTTGTCAGCTTCCTATTTTCAATCTTTAAAATGATGCTGGTGCAGGCCTCTAATCCGATCATTTTCGGATGCCAAGGTGGTTGGATTGCTTGAGCTCAGGAGGTTGAGGCCAGCCTATCAACATGGCAAAACCCCATCTCTACAAAAAAAAAAAAAATGACAAAAGTTAGCTAAGTGTGGTGGTGCATGCCTGTGGGCCCAGCTACTCTGGAGGCTGAGGTAGGGGGATCACTTGAACCCAAGAGGTCCAAGCTGCAGTAACCAGAGACTGTGCCACTGCACTCCAGCCTGGGCAACAGAGTGAGACCCTGACTCATAAAAATAAAATAAAATGAAATAAAAAATAAAAATAAAAAAAGATGCATGCTGGTTCTACTGTCTCCCAGTTCTATAACCAAAAACTCCTCTGGCTATAGGATACAAGAGGGAGAAAACTGCTGTTTTATTGGGGACCATAAAAGATGAGTAAATGCAGAGAAAATTTGGAAGGAAAGAAGACAGACATTTTTATAAGCATGATGGGTGCTGTGTAAGGTGGTTTGCATAAACCACAGAATTTACCTCCCCACAACAGCAATCCTCTGCAATCTGTAACATGAGGCTCCTGTAACATTTGAGCACGCTAAGATTGAGGAAGTAGATCATTTTCTATTATCACAATCTAATAATTTTGGGAGTCAAGAATTTATCTGGCTATTCCTTGGCCTAGAAATACACAGTGGCGGTAAGAATTTGGATTGCATATAGAAGACAAGTCAAGGAACAAATGCAATAAATATTATGCTATAAGAGTATCTTTTGATGCTGAGGACAAGGATGTGGCTAGGCCCAGAGAAGAAGCAAAAGGTTTGGAAAATAATTTGAGAAAGTAGTAGGTAATATTCTCTTTTTCATTTTTTGCTTGCTTGTTTTGTTGTTATTATTGTTGTTGTTTTTCACTGCTTTTCTGCGTCTATTCCTTTTTTTCTGTGAAGTCCAGCTTATTCTGTTTCTGTATTCACAAGGCCGAAGATTCCAATATATCTGCTCAGATAATATATCCCCTACTTGAAGGAAACTACTCTTTCCGTGAGAGAGAATTTGCTAAGAACAACTTAGATCAATGTCTTTATCTACTCCAATCTACTGTGACAGGAAGGTGTCGGCCTCTAAGTATAAACACTGCTGCCAGCACCCATTTAGGAAGCAGTGAAGAGGAAGACCATAAACTGGCCCAAAACCCTATGAGGGTTTTCCTTGTTGCTTTGTTGTTTTACTTGTTTTTGTTCGTTTTGTTTGTTTTGTTTTTTCTTTATAAAAAGAAGTGCGGACTATTTACAATAGCAGAGACTTGAAACCGAGCTAAATGCCAACAATGATAGGATGGATAAAGAAAATGTGGCACATATACACCATGGAATACTATGCCGCCATAAAAAAGAATGAATTCATGTTCTTTGCAGGGGCATGGATGAAGCTGGAAACCATCGTTCTCAGCAAACTAACACAGGAACAGAAAACCAAACACCGCAGGTTCTCACTCATAAGTGGGAGTTGGACAATGACAACACATAGACATAGACACAGGGAGGGGAACATCACACACCTGGGCCTCTTGGGGGGTGGGGGACAAGGGGAGGCAGAGCATTAGGACAAATAACGAATACATGGGGGACGTAAAACCTAGATGACGGGTTGATAGGTGCAGCAAACCACCAAGACACATGTATACCTATGTATCAAACCTGCACATTCTGCACATGTGTCCCAGAACTTAAAGTTAAAAAAAAAAAAATGCAGTAAGAAGGTTAAACACAGACAGAAAAAAGAGAAAAGAGTGAGGAATAATATATTTTTCCTAGAGCTGCAAACATAACCCCAACAGTAGTATTAAATGTTAGGAAGTATTTAAGTCTTTAGTGTTTGGTAAGTTCTTTGGGGAAGAAGTTTCCTGTGAGAATTCACTTAGATGACAGAAAATTTGGGAGCAGTTCTAATAATATTTGCACTAACACTGTAATCCAACCAGTTTTGGGCTGGCAAATAATTTGTCAGAATTGCCACGTCATTTTCTAGCCAAGAAGCAAAGCATAGTTAAGGAGATTTGGAAATCAATATACATGCATCCTCTCCTTGCTTCTTGAGAAAAAAAGTTCTTAATAAAAATAATATGTTGAAGCAAACAGGAAAAATCGTTTCTATATGAATGAGAAAAATAATAATTAGTACTGCCAAATGTACACAACTAAATTTCTGCGGGGAGTAATACTATTAAAGGGAACACCATCAGGTTTAGCACGTTTTGTTACTTGAAACTCAGTAAGCCTATGTGGAAGTAAATTCACAGAGTATAGACTAAATACATAAAGAGTAAAAAACATAAAATCATGAGAATGTAGTATGTTTTATTGCTGAAACCACCATTTAAGTCAGAGTATTGCAGAACCAATTATTTTTGTGGATATTACAGATTACAGATATGAAGAGTTTTCCTGCTGTTAAAGCTGAAAAGCCCCACTGATGCAGGTTATTTCTTTATTTTTGATCAGAAATATCTTTAGCAGCTGATCCCAGTTGGGTTCCAGGGTTGTGAATTGGTATTATCATCTCTTTTCCAACCACTTCACACTATACCACAGGAGAGCAGGCAATATAGAGAAAAGGTCAGTGCTTATATATAGAAAAGCCACTGAGTATAACGGTATGTTTTAAGTTGGGAGTATTAGATCCCAGGCTCCCATTCTCAAAGTAGCAAATGCTCACTCTTGTAATACTTTCATCATTTTGCAGAGATTCTCACTTTTTACATTATTAGGCTTTGATTTATTTAATGTTAGCTAGAGTTAAACATTTAAAAATTGATTGCATTTTAAAATCTTAGACCAAATAATTTATGTGTGCGTGTAAGTTGAGGTGTATTATATTTTATGAAAATATATAATATTTGGTAAAGAAAATCTTGTACATAGCCTGAGAGAAAATATTTTCAAGAAGACTATGCTAGATTTGTTTAACGTAACTATAAATTAAAAATTATGATTTGCTGACCAAAATGATTAGTTGGTATTTAGAATATGATTATCCTACATATTTATTGATTAGATTTAAATACACATTTGCAGGGAGTATAGCTGTCTCTAAAGTCTTAAACTGCATTTTTTTCATAATTACAGTTTCATATTGACTCTGAAAAGTTTACATCTTAAAGTCAAAGGGCTTTAACAATAATATAAATTCAAGAAATTACTTGAAATCAACATTCCCATGCTTTGTTCTTAAAAAGTGAAATCTACAAATGGAAAGAGTTAAGTAATGAATATTATGGGGTTTTGTTCTCCAATAGAACTTTTGAAATTAAGACAATTTTCTGTATTCCTACTCCCTGTTGTTACTGATTGAACTCCCAAGATGGATTTGGAGTATCCATGTTTCTTATGACTAAATATCTTTATTTGGTAATTGGTATACTGGGTTGCTGGGCCTGTCCAATTATACCTCATGTAGCAGAGTCTCCAGAGATTTCCAACTGAATATTATTTTTCCATTATCACTCCTGTTATATCTTGAGGTTTACTGAGAAAAATCCTTCAGCCATTTAGGTTTACATAGGGAACCCTTCCCCCACATTGACGAAACACACAATTAGTGGCAAGAAATAAAATATTACCACAGTAATGTATAAGTTATGGTCTATTTTGTATTTGAAAGATGGTGTAGAAAATGGTGATTTCATACTTTTTTCCTTACATTAACAAGATTATCCTGTAATGGGTATCTTTTCTAAGAAACTTGGGTTTATTCACATTTTTTTTAATGAATGCCATTAATTTAGCAGACATAGCTGTAAAAATGATTATGAATTCAAAACAAGTCTCACCTTAAGTGAATTGAATTTTAGGATATGCCTTTGTAATTTACCCAATCACCATATTTAATATGAATATATTTCACACTAGTCAAAATACATCTCCTCAACAGGAATCTTCTTCTAACAACCCAATTTTCACCTGTTTAATTATTACCTGAAACTGATTTTATCACTTGGCCCTCATCTGGCCTCAATTATCAGTGTTTTCCCTTTGTATTAAAACCAATTTAAAATCTGAGAGCTTACTGCAGAGAGGTAACGTTCACCACAGTCGGTGAAGAATAATAAATTTATATTTTATTTATATAATTGCGATTTATCTATTAATTCACTTAAATATTTATTAAATGCTGTATTTAATTGTAATATCTGTAGGGGATTGGCTCTTCTACTTAAAAAAATAATAAAAAGATAACTTCAGTGGTTACTTCAGGCAGCATAGTATTTTAAAATATATTATCCTAGCTCTACAATGCTATTTAGGTGGAAAAATATACAAACTGTGATTAAGTCTGAAAATAGTCTCTTTATGACTTTATTACTCCCTGTCCCTGAGGATTGATTCACATATTAAATATACCAGAAGATTTTTCCTTCTTTCTTCAAGAACCTACATATGCCTTTTCCAAATATCTATTCTTATTCAGAGAATATATTTTCTGGAAAGAGGATGATTGATTTATTTGGAAAAGAACATAGGGAAGAAAATTAATAGAACACGTAAGAGGGGTTTGGTCTGATAATCAAGAAAGATATATGGTGAGGGTAGAGATGCAGGTAAATTTATAGAACAAATTAGATATTTCAGGATAAGTGAATATATGAGATCATTTGTAAGAAAAATTGTAAAAAAGTTTTCTCAGTGAAAAAATTATTCTGCAGATTATTATAATTCTGAGAAACTGTAACAAGAAGATTGTGAATTTTCACTTGTAAATGATGTGCGGGTAAACTAAAAACAAAGTTTTCTGTCAGTAAAACTTAAAACTTTAAAACGCAGTGAAGTTTACTCATTAAACTCTATCCATTTTTATAATTCCTTGTTTTATTAGTTATCCTTATAAAGACACTGCCAATGTTTTTTGTGTGTAGAGCCAACCAGTTTCACAATCAATACCACTAGAAAAATACTTGAAGAGAAAACATGTCACTTACAAATATTATATATTTCAATGATTTTAATATTATATGATTTTCCATAATAATTTTTTGAATATGAGGTTCTTGAGTCAAGGAAGAAAATGCTAGCAAGAAAAAAATCAAGTTATCATTAATTCACTGGCATATACATTGAGTATCTTCTTTTCCTTCTTGCTTATATCATGAAACAGATCTATACTCTCTACACATGGGGCAAGTACTGTGGGTTAGAATTAAGAACATGGTCTGGACAAGTAAACCATATAAACATACACTGATGTTACATTTTGTGAATAATAAAAGTGTTGCATTACAGGATTTTTTGATTTCTATATACTGAATTTTTATTCCAAGATATTAACCATGACAAAAATCAAACAATTGGGGTTTACATTTAGTTCTCCATGAAAAATAGCCTTTTTGGAGTAGACTTGAAGAACTCTTGGAGCACCGAGACTTCAGGTGCAAGTGTTATATTTAGCAAATGCTCCAGGGGAAGCCAGTGAGAGAGTGGAGGAGGCAGGATAGGGAAGGCGAAAGAAACAAAGTAAGTTTAATTGTGATGCCAGCTGCTCTATAAAGCTCTGGAAAGTGAATTATCTCATGGAGACTGTCTTGATGTCTCAAGTCAAAAGAACTGGCTTTTTGTATTTCTCTAGCAGTCAGTCATTGGATACCGGCCACTTCGGCATTTCATTGAAGAGTATATAAAACTCTCAGTCACTTCATGTGGACCAGGTGGCTCCAGGGTCCATAAAGTATGGAGATCACAGTGTGAATAGTAGCAAAACAAGCTGATGATGGGGCAGAATGGACATGCAAACACGGTGAAAGGAATCCAAGGAGACATGGATTGAACACCTTCAGTGTCCCATACACTTTCAACACTTGCTGAGATTCTCTTGCTTTTCACATTAAGTTTATTCAACCCTAGCTTCTTTAAGCTTATAGTTGGCTACAATTTGGGGTGGGAACAAGGGAGTAGTTTTATATGGATGATACCCCACCCTCTACCTCTGCAGTTATTCCTAACATCATTAATCATGCTTACTATCTGATTCCTCTACCACCCATACTAGAGACCTCATCCTCAGCTAGGGTGTCTAATAGTCTAAAAGGCTTTTCTGATGGTATTAATAAGAGTTTCCTCCCTAAGTTATCTGAGTGTCTAGGTGCTGTATTTTTATAGACCCAAACTAATGACGTTGCTGATTCTCAGTTAACACTTGACGTGGGAGTACCACATGATGCCACAGGGAATAATATGAATGTCAATTATGATCTAGCAATTCTGTCTCTTCATGACAATTGGTTCAGCGACACTGCTGATATTGTAACTTTCTTTGCCTTCATGTCTACCACCATGAGGGACCTAAAAAACCTGGGTGGTATCTAAATGTTTACATTTAGTGGAACTCTAACTCTGTTCACTATTGAGAGAATTGGGAAGAAGACTATCTGGACCCACAGAGCCAAAAACTGTAGGAATGGAAATCAGAATCTCCCAAGTGACTCATTAGGAGTGACGATAAACAGTCTACTACTACTTTCACTTGCTTGATTCCACATTCACATGATCTACCTATGAGGGACATAGAATCACATAAAGTGTAATGATTTAAGGTGTCCACAAAATAATAAATAACATCAACCCAAGCTTGGTTGGTGGTGTTGTCATGCTGGCACCACATCTGCCACCTTCAAAACTAATTCCAATGATCTATTGAGGCAGCAGCCATTGGCTGATACAGTTTGCTGCAGAGCCGGTAGATTCCATGGTGATGTGCTCAACCTACCATAAAGTGAGTACCTTGGAACAATATGATGTGATAGTCCAGTAAATGAGGCACATTTTGAGCCCTTGGGTTATGATGCTAGACAAAGCACTATGGGCAAGAAAGGCAAACCAGTATGGAAATATGTTTCAGTCTTACTTTGTGAGACCTTCTCAGAATGAGGGTTCCAATATAATGAACTTGCTTCCAAATGCCTTGTTTCTCCTCTTAAAGGACAGAATTAAAAGTTCAGTGTTGGTTTCTTTCGGCAGCAGATCAGATACACACAGAGGCAATAAATAAATCCCTTGATGAGTGGGAAATAAATCTTTTGGAATCATGCAGTAGCCTTCATTTTTCCCACCATGCCCTCTCCATTCATGATTCTATCACACAAGCACTGCATTGCTTGAGGACATCAGCAAGAGGTCTCTACCTGATTACCACTCTTGTCATCTACTCATTTGGAGTATCTTGTTTTTGTGAGCATCAAGGTGTCATACAAAGATCTTTACATTTTATACCCACTCCCAAAATCCAGCTATTTGTTTTATTTTACAATCTCTTTGCCCTAAATTTTCAGTCTTGTATTTTTTCTAAATCACTGACAACTAGCCACGCAATTCATCCATAAGTTTACATACATTCATAACTATGTCACTTGTTTCTTCATTCCAAACTGATGACCAGGTGTACTGAAGCTGTGCCCATGAGAATTTCCATTCACAACTTTCTTTCGAGGGCCATCTTTACATGGGATTATATTGCAGTAGTAGTATAATACAACAATCTAATCCAACCATGAAACAGGATCGTTGTGTTTTTGTTTTTTGTTTTGTTTCTTCCTTCCTCCATCAACTGGATTAGGGAACTCCCATGAAACTGTAAGTATAAGCTGACAGGAAGATGCCAGAGCATTTCTGGTGGGTGAAATGGTGGTTGAGACATTTATTTATGCTGCTTGAATATAAACCGTGAACTTGTTCATTTCTATTCTTGAATACAACATTCCCCTTGCATAATAGATTATTGTTGGGCCAGCTCAAGCTTATGATTTTGTGGGTTACAGTTCTCAGCTCTGGAGCCTCAACTCTAGTCACATGGCTACTTCATGCACCATGATCAAATGCTTGCTTTCTATTAGAGCTCGGTAGCTTTCCAGGAGCTGCTTTTCAAATGGCTATAGATCCCTGCTGCACATGGAGTAGCCTTGCACCAAAACTGTAGGAGTCTGCAATGCACAATCACTTACTAGAACTTGCTAGAAACTGCATATGGTTGCTTAATGTATAGATGACTCTAAATATATGGGATTTACCAGGTCACATTACCTAAGTAGCAGGGATCTTTAAGCTACAGTCTAGTCCTGCTGCACCACTCCTTGTTTTGAGCCCTACTCAAAATTAGCAGTTTTGGGTTGAAGCAGTGTTCTCCTGTGAGATGTGTGTTACCGCTAAAATCTGAAGACATTTAATAAATGATGTGCCTCTTAGTGATATCAGAAAAAATTATTCCTCAAATGATAGTGACAAAGCTTTTTTTCCTTCTTCAAATTGTAGAATAACTTGGACAATTATATATAATGGCTTAAATCAAATATATTTTTTATATTTTAGTGATAATATACCACTTACCTATATATTTCCTTGACCATTATAACAGGAAAACAATATCAACAGATAGAACGTCTTCGCTTTCATAGTCTACCTTTTCCTTTCTGTAGAGAAGCCTTAAAGATACAGTAAATGCTCTTGGAACTCTCATCAAACCTTAACTGCAGTAAAATAATTATTCATTTCTTCCCCAAGATTCCCATTCATGCCTGGATAGCTTGTGTGTAAAGGTGTCAACCAACCTTCACCTTCCTACTAACCACTTAAGAGTGTAAAGAGCTATACCTGTGGCTAATCAATCTACAATAAAAATAATTATGATCTTCTCTCTAAATTATATGTGTTTCAACTTCACGTATAAAAATATTAATATTTTGATTTAAATACTTATGAGAGTAAAAGATTAGTATGTTCTTTTGATAAATATATATTGGGCACACATTATTTGCAAAGAACTATGTTAGTAGCAGTAAAGCTATTTTATTTTAAAGTTTTGTGTTTTAAGAGGACAAATAAAATTTTTAACCAAATCTAAAAATTTGCAGGTTTTAGTTGAGACAGTTATTTACACAAAAAGCAAAGACTCATGCTTTTACTTATTTGACAGTAAATTACTATATGATCAAATACAACATTCACTTCTTTATGCATTAAAATGTTTACATTCACTCCCCACACACATTTTTGTTTCTTAATGAATTAAAGTCTAATACACTGTGTTACTGAGTATTGCCCATTTCCAACTAAACCAGGATGGGCTTATGACTTGAAACCTATTTTTTGTTTTAAACAGTATCATAATTTAAATCTTGGAAAAGCATCCTCCTTCATTTTCCTCTTAGCTCTTGCTAAAATATTAAAATATGGATCCATAAATATAGGAATAAATAGACACTACTGTACTACTAGACGCTCTCATTATGAATCAGTAAACATAGTTCTTTTATGGACTATAAGTGACTGTATGTTTAAGTGGCTGTAAATGTAAATATCTGGAACACTTTTAATGATTCTAAGATTCATAGTTTTAAAATTACCAAATCTTACATTGCCCTTTTGAAGACTATTTAGTCTAAGAAAACAAATTACAATTAAGATAATATAGAAACAATTTTATCCATATATATACATATGTGAAATGATTTATTTAAGCTGAGTGATGAAAGAGCTCAAAGCAATTATTTATTAGCATTGCTGTATGGGTATGATACCATCCAACTATTATTTTCAGTAATTTTTCTTACATTGGAAATGGATTTTCATAGCTATGATTTTATATAATTTTACTTTTAAAAAATATTATGTAACTAAAGGATTTGGCATTGAAAGTATTGGTTTATTATAATTAAATGAAAAGCCCTATCCTGTGAAACCTATGAAGAACATGATCTAATAACAATAAATAAAATATAGAAAATAAAATTAATCTCAATTATTGTCATTATAACTGAGCAATGACTACAACCTATACCATTCACCTGGAGCAATCTTCTTTGCTATAATATTTCAGTAACTATATTGGTATCTTTGTACTTTCAAAATGCAATCAAGATAAATATGTAGAAATGAATCTAGCAGTACAATTCATTAATTCCACACACATTTCTATGTTAGGCACTACATAACATTCAAAAGGCATAGTCCCTGATCTTATGAAGGATACATCAATGGGGAAGGTGTAAAAGTACAATTATATTGGAGTATAAAATGTGAAGGAATATAATTACAAGAATGAACTGTGTATGAGAGAGTAGTGGGTATTCAAGTCTACTAAGAGTCATCTCAAGAAATGTTTACAAAGGCTTCCACAATGGTTGAACTAGTTTACAGTCCCACCAACAGTGTAAAAGTGTTCCTATTTCTCCACATCCTCTCCAGCACCTGTTGTTTCCTGACTTTTTAATGATCACCATTCTAACTTGTGTGAGATGGTATCTCATTGTGGTTTAGATTTGCAGTGGGGCGATTCCTCAGGGATCTAGAACTAGAAATACCATTTGACCCAGCAATCCCATTACTGGGTATATACCCAAAGGATTATAAATCATGCTGTTATAAAGACACATGCACATGTACGTTTATTGCAGCACTATTCACAATAGCAAAGACTTGGAACCAACCCAAATGTCCAACAATAATAGACTGGATTAAGAAAATGTGGCACATGTATGCCATGGAATACTATGCAGCCATAAAAAATGATGAGTACATGTCCTTTGTAGGGACATGGATGAAGCTGGAAACCATCATCCTCAGCAAACTATCTCAAGGACAAAAAACCAAACACCGCATGTTCTCACTCATAGGTGGGAACTGAAAAACGAGAACACATGGACACAGGAAGGGGAACATCACACATTGGAGCCTGTTGTGGGGTGGGGGGAGGGGGAGAGTTAGCATTTGGAGATATACTTAATGTTAAATGACGAGTTAATGGGTGCAGCACACCAACATGGCACATGTATATATATGTAACGAACCTGAACGTTGTGCACATGTACCCTAAAATTAAAGTATAATAAAAAAAGAAAAAAAGGTAAATAATTATTCATAGGTAATATGCCATGCTTATTATATTTTATATATAATATATGTATATATAATTATATATGTGTACATATATAAATATATGTATATATAGTATAGTTTGGATGTTGATCCCTTCCAAACCTAATGTTGAAAGTTGATCCCTAATATTGGAGATGGGACCTAATGGGATGTGTTTGCATCATGGGGGTGGATCATTCATGAATGGATTAATGCCCTTTCTGGGAGTGGGGGAAAGGAGTTTGTTCTCACTCTATTAGTACCAGAGACAGCTGGTTGTTTAAAAGATTCTGGCACCTCCCATTCCTCGCTCTTGCTTCTGCCCTCTGACCATGTGATATTGGAACATCAGCTTCTCATTACTTTACACCATGAGTAGAAGCTTCCTGAGGCCCACATCAAAAGCAGATGTTGACAGCATGCTTCTTGTGTATCCTGCAGAATGATGAGTCGAATAAACACTTTTTTAAATAAAAAAAAGAAACGTTTACCAAAAAAGTCAATTTAAGACTATAAAATAATGTATTAATAATATTTGCAAGACTACACATGGGGCTAGGGAAAGTATGCAAAGGCATAGGGGAAATGCACATGGTCTGCAGCAAGGGACTGGTGGACTGAAAATACTTCAATAATGTTGGAATATAAAGTACAAGAAGCGGAACTGCAAGACTTCAAGCTGAAGAAGTCAGTAAGGCTGTGCTCAAGGGCTGCATCAGCATTCCTCAGCAGCTGAAAGCGAGCTTTAAGAATGTCTGAGTCAAACTGAAACAATTGATGTTCACAAAGAGTGTTTCCTATGTTGAACGAACGTCCTTTAAGATCTCCAAATACAACCAATGGGTGATGAATCTACCCTCTTATGGAAAGCTGGGGTATATGATCCCTCCTCTTTTATCTGGAAAGTCTTTGTACTTGCTTTGACCAATTGCATATCACATAAGTGACACTGTGCAAGTTGCAGAGCTCAGAGCTTAAGACTGGCCGGTTTTTCTTGTTGTTTCTTGAAATACACATTCTTGGAGTTTGAAGCCAACTATCCTGGATGTCCAACTGAAGAGACTGTGTTGAGAGACACTGAGACCATACGGAGAGGAGAGGGAGAGGGACCCCACTGAGCTCAATCTTCTTTAAGCCCTGCTAAATTGCTAAGTATGTGAGGGAAGCCATCTGGAACCACCAGACCAGCTCATCTGTCCGATGTGAATCTGGAGGTACAATGCAATGGTTACTTGATTTTAGTCACTGAATAGGCAACTGGAATAAAGTTATACTATATCCCCTTTAACGCAAAACTAATGAAATAATTAACTAAAACCTCTATCTCTAGTTCTCTTTTATTCATCAATATATTCTAATTAGGTATAAATCCCTAGCAGTCCACATAAATCCCTTTTATCAAGATTGACAAATACCAGTATCCATGTTTAATTCAATGGTCATCGCTGAATCTCAATGTATTCAAATTCCTGCAGGATTTAATACAGCTATTTACTCCCTCCGTGTGTGTGTGTGTGTGTGTGTGAGTGTGTGTATACACTATATATGCCTGTATAGGCATATATACATATTTTTTTTTCTTTCTTCCAGGGAAACATGCTCATTGTTTTTGCCTGTCTTGATGCTATTTTTCCTCAATTCCCTTGGCTTGCTCTTTCTTTTCTTCCTGAACTTAAAACGATAGAATCCAAAGGCTCAAACACTTCCTCTGGAACTCAGTCAAATACAAGATAAATCATTCCAAAACTGGAGGAAATCTCAGTTATTTAAAGCTAATAAGAAAGAATATCTGACTTTCCATCATAACAACTTTGTCAGGGACTTTTAAATAACATATTTTAAACCATGTATTTATTAATAGTGATTAAACAAGTACTTACAGAGTACCTACTGCTTCCTAAGAACCTCAGGTGCCAATGATCCAGCAGCAAATTAAACAAAGTGTCTGTCCTCAAGGAGCTGACATTCTAAAGGGAGGGGACAGATGCAGTACTTAATAAATAATATATAGTATGTAAAATGGTAATAAATTCCTTGAAAAAAATAAGTTAATTGTATGGCGCAATGGCTCACGCCTGTAATTCCAGCACTTTAGGAGTCTGAAGCAGATCATCTACATCCAGGAGTTCGAGAACAGCCTGGCCAACATGGTGAAACCCCATCTCTATTAAAAATACAAAAATTAGCCGGGTGTGGTGGCATGCACCTGTAATTCAGGCTACAAGGGCAGCTGAGGCAGGGGAATCACTGGAACCAGGAGGTGGAGGTTGCAGTGAGCTGAGTTTGTGCCATTGCACTCCAGCCCGGGCAACAAGAGCAAAACTCCATCTCAAAAAAAAAAAAAATAAAGAAAGAAAGAAAGAAAAAGAAAAGAAAAGGAAAGAAAAGAAAAATGAAATGATAGGTCGTTTATGTGGACATTATCTTCTAAGGGCTGATAAAGCATAGACCAAATCAGACTGCTTTAGCACTCTTTAGAAATGTCTTCACATGTGATTTAATGTTATGCACCTGAAGGAATGCTTTTTGTTTTGCATAAATCTCTACAAAAGACAACATCCATATGACAGAGTAGTCTATATATAATAGTTTACATTGATATTATTATTGTTGTTAACTTTGGAAGTCCAGCACAAAGCTATTCTAATCAACTTTATTGAGGTATAATTTGTATTTAATAACCCACATCAACTTAGGGTGTACCAATAGAGGAATTTTGAGAAAAATACACACCTGTGAAGAAGCCACCACCACAATCAACATAGAAATATTTCCATTACCCCAGGAATTTCTTTGGAACCAAGCTCTCTGCTCAATTGTAGTAATTAGAGTTATCATTAGTTTTCTGATACATTTTCTTCTCCACATTGACCAGATCTGTTGTGTGCTTATGTGTGTATAATATTATAATAAATATCAGTGTGTATAATAAGGAATATACTTATGATGCTCCAACAAAATGAAATACAGTGGAATTTTCACTTCTCATTTCATGCCTTATTTTTCTGCATTTCATCCAGTCACCATTAGATAACAGCTTTTATGTGTGAATGTATGTGTCTTTACAGTTTTTTTTCAGCATATACAGGCAAATGCAAATACATATTCTTATTTTTGACCTTTTTGTATAAAATTAACATATTTGACATATGCCTTTCTATGACTTTTTTATTATTTTAGAGTGTTATTTATCATTTTTCTCCATAAGTGTATAGACTCCTCTTTCTTCTTTAGGGCCGCTCAATATTTTCCATATCACTGTGTGTGCTATAATGTATTTAAGCAATATTCTGCTAATAGACATTTGTATGGTTTCCAATTCTTTGCTGTTACAAACAACACTACAATGACCGACTTTGAGCATTTGTCTATTACGTGTGTGCCAAGTGTGTCAAAGGATAAATTTTCAGAAGTGAAGTTGTTGGTCCTAGGGTATATTAATTTCTCATATTGACAGATATTGCCAAATATTTCTCCATGGGGCATGTACCAACTTACAGTACTACCAGAAATATATGAGCATACTTCCTTTTCCCTAGCCTTGCCAAAAGAATACACTGTCAAACTTGGCAATTTTTGCTAAATTAATTGGTATAGTATACTATACTAGCATAACTTTCCTTCACGTTTTTCTTTTATGTATGGGATTGAGGGCTAGAACTAACCAGAATTTAGAAAATCAGGAATAGTAGCCGTTACTTAATGGATGAGTTCAGGATGAGTTCAGGATGAAAGTCCATTTGTCTTTTTGCTTATACCTTATCAAGAGTTTATCATCAATGCAATATGCTTAAACTTTAATTAATATTTTTATTTCCAAATGGAGGACTGCTTTCTTAAAATTTGAAATCATTTACTTACTTATTTTTTTAAAGGAAAAAATAAGAAAACTTTAAAATTCAGAAACTGCAGCCAATGTCCCATCATCTAATAAAATGGGGAGTAACAAACAAACAGCAGAGGGAGAAATCAGTGAAAAGAATGGAGTTGAAAAGGAAAGACAGATACAGAAATATAAATGTAAAGCAATATCAACTACACTAGTCAAAATTACTAGCAGTAATATAAATACACCCTTTTATTTTCTATCTGATAAAATGCAGAAACACTAGGAAGAAAAAATGAAAATGAAATTTAGGAAGAGCATTCCATGAGCATCCAACAACACTTAAGATGTAGCCTTGATGTTACAAAATTCTCATTAGGCCATACAAGAAAAATTTTGAAATGCCATAATTACATAATTAACAATTAAAAGGGCTGTTCATAATTTCTCCTAGCTCTCTATATTTGTGGCTTTATAAAATCAATCTATTGCATTTGCAAAGGATTTTTTTCCCAATTTACTATCTGTAGTAACTTTCTCACCTTAAAACAATGTCATCTATAGTTTCCCTTAATATATAAATATGTGAATATCACTTAAAATGCAGGCCTCCCAGATTTATTTGTCTTTGTTAGATAATTAGTCAAGCTGAAAATCTTCTGTAGAATAATCAAAATTTTATCTCCTGGGAGAAGTTAGAAGCCTAGAATCTAGGTAAAATCCTAGGTAGACGCTATTGAGCCTGTGCAGCAACAAATATAACACATGGGAAAACATCGGTCAGCTCCACAACACGGGCACAAGCTGGCAGCTCTGGCTTGTCCAAGAGCAGAAGTGAACACAGCAATCAACCTTCAAAAGGCCACAGTACCTTCAGTTTGTCTGCAAGGAAATCTTGAAGTTGTATTGTGAATTTTATAAAAGTCAAGGTTCTGATGCATTCTCCTTGTGCAATACTATTCATGTTTGCTTAAAAACACTGGAGACAGGTTAATAGCAAGCTTCACCCTAATGCCAATGCTGAAGTGTTTATTTTTTTTCTCTTTAAAAAATTTTTGCCTTCATAAGGTCTAAAACATCTCATGAATTGAAGTTTTTAAAGAATACTAATTGTAACAAATACATGACTGTTTTATGATAAAACAAATATTTGTATAAAATATTCTGCATATATTGTATGTATAATATCATATGGTAGGCATTCTATAAATACTTGTTAAATTACTTCTTAATAAGTGGTGTTGAAAATGTTATAAACAAAACACTGTGTAGATAGTAATATTACTACTCTCTAACCCGTTCTATCACACTATGAGCTGTGCAAAAAGAAATTTCCATCAGAAGAGGCTCAGCTGAGCACATGCAATTTGACTGATACTGCAAGCTGATTGACTGGGCAGGCGTGAGTTGTGGGACGTCTTGAGTACCACGCTGGGCTGATCCAAGCCTATTGTCACCTGTTTCATGATTTTTGAGAGGGGAACTAAGAGGACAAATTCTACAGGCTGGCTAATTAATGAGCTATAATACTCGTAGAAATGCCCTCTCTCTTCACTCAGTAAAAGCTGCCAGTCCTCATGGCTGTAAAAGAGAAAATGAGATCCAGATTGGCAGAGACCAAAAGGTGAAACTTCAGAGGCAACTCAGGGTCAGAGGGGCAAAAGCAATTGTAATAAAGAGTTGCAGGAGGCAGAATAAGGAGCAGTCTCAGAAGGTCACAAAAGAAAATTCTAAGTGGCTCTCAAGGAAAATAGACCTGCCATCCACAGCATTCCCAGGAAAGCTGGAGGCAGTTATGGGACTTGAATGTCAACTGACACTCAGTAAGACACAGGGCTGGAGCTTGTTTTTCTTTCTTTTGACCACAAAATTGTTACTCATTTTTGTCTTAACACTCTGCTGTGTCTCAGGGACAGAATAACTATAAAGGGATGAAATAGATACTACCAGAAATTGATAAAGAATTTGATAAAGTTTAGACTTTACCAAATAAGAAATCTGATAAAGTTCAGACTTTATCAAATTAGCCAATTTGCAATTCTTTGAAGAAGGGAGAACTCACATTTAGCTTTCCGTACAAGGTCAGTTTGATTTTTCTCCTCTGTCATGTGTGATGCCATATCCAGTTAATAAAGTCTTCAGATGGAATCACAGGCAAGTTATAAGCTCTTTAGCAAGTTCTGGACACTACATGCATGTACACATACACACACATACACACATGCACACACATGCACACACACAGACATACACATGTGACCTATGCATCAAAACTTCCCACTATCCCCACACACAGCAGATTTGCTCTTATTTCTATACAACAATTGAATACAACTCATTTTAATATATATATTTCTCTCCCTGATGAAATTCTACATCTACCTAAGCGAGTAATCAGAAGCAAAAACTATTTAGTATTTGGCTTTGCAAATTCACCATTTACGTCACCAGCACCCTGAAGATGTATTTTTTAAAACTTGAAGCTATTTCCTGGATGTCTTATCATGACATATTTTTAAATATTGATAGCTATCCTTCCATTAAAATTATCAACCAATGAATGAGACTGCATTTCCTAACCATCCTTTATTACGTTTTTCTTATTGAAACATATCACAATTTTAGACAGCTTCATATTAGCAACATTAACAAATAGATAAAAAATAAGTAAATGTGCTGCTTTTAAATTGAACTTCAGGATTACATTTCCTTCCCAACTTCTGGAGGATTGACTGGCAGATTCTAAGATTACTAAACAACCGTTCATACAAAAAAACCTTAAAATACATACTAAGATTAAAGAAGTGTTCTAAATAAGTTTCAGCACACTAAAACTTGATTTTCCTAGCACAGTGAATGAGCAAAATGTAATCCAATAAAATGTATTTATCAAATATATTTATTCCTTAAATAAACATTGTTAAATGAGGTTGGGATACATCTGTGAGAAACAAAGATCTTTGCCGTCCAGGAGTTAACCATGAGGAAGAAAAAATAAATAGCAAGCTAGTTACATGTGTGTATTAAGAAGATAAATGTTATAGAATGAAAACAAAGAATAAGGGGTGCCAGAATGCTACTGGTGAAGACTGGGTGCCAAGATAGAATATTCACTCTGTCGGTCATGGTAGGTCACATTAGAATGGTGAAAGCTGAGCACACACTTAAAGGAGGTGAGCGCCTTAGCCAAATAGATAACGGGGGCCTTTTCTTTTTCCCTTTATAAATCATGCTTTCAACATATAATTAGCAGAAATCTAGAGGTAACAGAAAAATCTATTTATTTTTAAAGTATTACAATTATTTTAAGTAAAAGCTAACAGGTATATGGAATAGAGCATGTACATTTAGCTATAAAAATAAAATGCATTTTGAGAAATCATGCTAAATTAATGGAAAGAGAAAATTTGGGCTCTATTATCTGTTACTCCTTCTGTTCCAACCTTAAAAAATTACAATGTGATGGAAAATGTAATCTAATTATTCCCTTTAATTTCATGGTTGCCTAATTACTCTAAGCAGAAACCAAGCAACAGTTTACAGGGCATGAATATATTTAAATTAGTTCCTATTTATGAAGTAACTAAATGCCTGTGCCTTCTATTATTAATTGGGATATTTACATTTCTAATTATAATTTGTTGGGAAATATATTTAGTGTACTGCTTTACTAATAATTTGTTAGAGTATTATGGGACATACACATATGACTATATAAATCACATTCTATTTGGTAAAATACATTGCTATTCAATGACTTTTTGAAATGGAGCACATATCATTTTTATTTTCCACCAAATTTACTATTTATTATCAGCCTCACTAACTTAGAAATAGACAATTAAGGTATCTTTATTGCTTAACTTATAGAATAAACTTAATTTAAAGACATAAACTTTTCCCTATATAATTCCAAGAAGTATTAGAGTCTTACTTCAGAAAAATTAATGTAACTGAATATATTTAACTTACTTCTCTTTCTTCTGTAAATTTTTTACTTAATTCAGGTTGGACAACCAAAAAATTATCAAGAATCTGTGTATTATTTGATCTGTGTTACCTCACCTAATTTAAAAAATGGTTTAAGGAAATATAATTTCTGGATTTTTATTTTATAGACAAAGAGACAACAATAAATGTTGATTAGATGTAAATTAAAATGAGGATAAAAACATGGATTGGGAGTGGTAAGATGGAGGTCATTAGTGCCTGTGAAAATTTTCAACACCTTAGTGTTTTTTTGTTAATTTAATACTTCTAATGTTAAAAAAAACCTTAGATTTTTCCTCATCTGCTTAACATGTTTACAAACTATACATAAACTATCAAAGTTATATTTTAATTCTGATTTTCTCATGAAAATGAGAGACATATTTTAATTCTATTGTTGACAGTTTTTACATTTTATTTGCTTTTTAATGAGATTTTTTAGTTTTATAATGAAAGATGAAATAATAATAATAATAAATATTGGCCTTTTACAAGAAGTCGCTTCTTCATTTTTATCATGAGAAACACTTGGTGAACTGACTTCATTCCCTCATAAATTATACATGACACTCCCATGCAAAGCTACAAGAGGTGGAGATACGATCAGGGTCTCTCAAGCAATGTGAGGATCTACACATGGAGATGTGAGATTTAAGAAAATGAGAGAAAAACCATCTTGGCCACACAGGTAAGACTTCCGAAGACATGTCCTTCTGGCCATCTTTTAGTTTACTTTTTCTGATCCCCCAGTCAGGAGGCTGTGTCCATTACCCTTTTAACAGTTATCTGCCTTAGTGAGTGAGTTCCTCCAAATCATTGCTTCTTCTGCTTTTTATTTCCACAACAGATTCACAGCATGATATGTTTTGGCTGTGTTCCCACCCAAATCTCATCATGAAATTTAGCTCCTGTAATTCGCATGTGTACTGGGAGGGACCAGGTAGGAGGTAATTGAATCATAGGTGCGGATCTTTCCCATGCTGTTCTCATGATAGTGAATAAGTCTCCAGAAGATCTGATGATTTTTTAAAAGTGAGTTTCCCTGCCCCCACTCTCTTGCCTGCCACTATGTAAGACGTGCCTTTCTCCTCCTTTGCCTTCCACCATGATTGTGAGGCCTCCCCAGCCATGTGGACCTGTGAGTCAGTTAAACCTCTTTTTCTTTATAAATTACCCAGTCTCAGGTATGCCTTTATTAGCAGTGTGAAAACAAACTAATACACAGCACCACTCAAAGCTGGTTGACAGTTCTCTCATACCTCATGTTCAAACTCCCAAAGGAGTCAGAAAATTGCAAACCAGAAGGCACCATCCCTCTTAACCAGTCCTCTTTTTGGAAGCTGACTCAAAGTCTTGTGCTCAGACACCAATATCCAGTCCCTGCAGTTGTGAGCAGCCTGGTGAGGGCCATGTGAATAGTTCAGGGACCTGGGCTTGTAGAGCTTGGGATCATTTTACTAGGAAGGGGGTTGGAAGCTGGGGAAGGCTTTGAATGCTCAAATGTTCTTCTCCCAAGGACACTGAATCACATTCCCTAGTCCTAGATATTTTCCAAGCTGTAGAAACTTATTTCCAACCATCATTCAAGAATAGCCAATGCAATTAAGAAATGGCAATTTTAAATTCACTTATTTACTTATTTATTGATTGATTTTACCGAAGAAATGCATTGTACCTTTGATCCTATGCTTGAAAGAGCATAATTTGGTGTTTTCCAGGTAGCAAATGGAGAAAGGGAATTCTAACCAATGGGGTCAGCATATGTGCCTTTGGAGGTAGGCTGAGACGTTCTGCTTGGCTTAGATGTGAGTAATGGGCATATGACAGGGATTATATGAGATTTTCTGGGAAAAATCTATATAAAATGACAGACCAAGATTGTGTAACCTCTGTAGCACTTCATTTCCTTTGTGTAAAATGAGTTGCTTGAATGGGTTGTTTCCTGAGACATATTCTATGTCAGTTGTATTCAGTCATTTCAAGTCTTCTCTGACTGGAAGTTTCTTTCAATGTCCAGATCTAGCTTCTAAACAGAATAGAACATTATGTGTTATTTCCAGCTAGTTGGTAGAGTCTCAACCTTTCAGGAACAATAATCACTCCGAGGCTCCTCCCACTTCTACAAGATGCAATTTATTAATAACAGTTTTTCCAAAGGTCTATGTTCTTCATGTTTTCCTGGATCCTTGCATCCTTTAAAAGACTGACTCAAATGCATCTGGAAAATGTGGGTCTTTTGCTTTATCAAAGCTGCATTTTCTTATTAGCACTTTCTATATTATGGTAAAAATATGTGACCCTATCAGCCTTAGATTGGTAAACCATTTGGTATTAGAGATAGACACATCTATAATGAAAGCCCCACTATTCCACCAAAAATCTTTGTGACCCAGGGTGAGTAATTGAATATCTATGGACATCATTCATGAAACAAAAGAGGTAATACGTGTGCAAGGATATGTAAGAATTAAAATGATGCATACAAAGGGCTTTAAAAAATTACAACTATTCCTCCTATTATCATTATGTGACCTCAGAAATCCTTCATGAAACTGCAGCCTTTACACTCTAATGCTGTACACAAATCCCATATTGCCCAGTACATAGGATAATTTATATTCCCCAAAATGTCTATAGGTAAAATATGTGCCTACTTGCTACATCACTGTTTTCTATATATTTCTTTTTGAAATCCCCAATTGTTATTAAAAACATTTATTATTTGGAAGAAGTCATATATTGTTGAGAATATTTTGGAGAAGAATGGGACAGTCATATACATCCTTATATATGAAAAAATCCTGGGAGCACATCCAACTATTGAATTTATAATATATGAGAAGCAAAGTTCTATTTTAAAATACTTGTCAGACACCACAATCTAGCAATATGCCTGTGTGTATATGTATGTGAGTGTTGTGTGTGTGTAGTGATACATAACATTAAAATTTAGACATCAAACTTTAAAATAAATAAAATAAGGTTTATATCATTGTGACCAAGGGTTGTGTGGGTCAGGAGTCTCTGTTTGTTTCCTTTTAGTAAAACAAAACAAAACAAAAAAGAAACACTTCTTTTAAAGTGTCAACTCATCCTTCTCTTTTGCTTTCATACAAAAATTAACACAACATGGAGTGCTTAAAAATTTCCTAGGGTACGGCTCCCACATTGAGAACTTAGTATATGAGATTAATTCACTAGGTATTAGGGAAAGGATCCTAACATTAACGGGAGGGAAGATGAACTATTTTTCAAACAGGTAGGAACAGAAGAAAAAACATACAGAAAAGAAAGAAAGAAAAAAATGTTTCATTGGCAATATGGCTGGCATCATTCCCCACAGCAGGACAAATCATTGTAAGCATATACTCAGAATAATTCAATTTCCTAATTAATTGTTTTAAAAGCAAGTTGAAGGAAGAAATGATTTGTTTCCTAAATTTAAGAATTACTAATGTGATAGAGTGGTTCTAGTGGAACTGTTTGGATCACCCTGTTTTATTTTTGTTTTTAAATCTTACTTATTACTGTTGTCTTGCAAGCTGAAAATATTGCAGCCAAATATTAGAGTGAGGTATATGAATTCATTAATAATAAGTAATTCGACCTCAACTGTCAATGCGATTTTTAATTTCTAGCAGCTTTTATGAAGCACCTTATAATTTCAATTTTTTATTTTACCTCTGGATCTCAAAGTAGCATTTCCTGGAGCTGGCCATAATTACTTTATTATGGCTTAAAATTGCCTGTGTGGAGGCTCACTGTGTAGTTTCTATAGAGCCCACTGAAAATATAAACAACTAAGAAAAGCAAATATTTTCCCGCAGAAATGACTTGAAAAATCATTTACAGTAAATGTGTAACTGAAAATACTTTACCTGCACTTGTTTGGGTATTGGCACTGCTAACATGCAAATGCTCTTTCAATGTTAGTTTTCTTTCTTTATATTTTACACTACAGAAAGATCTCTTGCTGATATTTGTTAGTAAGTCAATCTTTCTTACAAACATCAAGAGATGACCTTTTATGACCCAAAGATTTATCAAGGCAGCAGTCTATTCCCTGGGGCCAGCATCTTCAGGTTCTTCCTCTGCCAGTCACATCTGTTGAAGGACTTTGCTAAATCCCATGAGAAAATGGACTAATCTACTTGTTTCGAAGAACAAGAATGACATCTTCACTGGCTTTATTTTGTCTATAGAGGAAACGAGTTGATAAAGGATGAAGTACTTTATCCAATTTTGAAGATTTGATGCACAGTTATTATAATAAAGGATACAGAGTGTAGCAGTTATTAAACAGCTACTCTGAGAAAATAAGGCTTTATTACTGGGGAAAAAAAGAAGAGAAACTTATTACAATGAACTCAATGAGACGATCATACTTAAAAAGAACATTCCCTTTTGTAAGTTCATTTCTCTTTCTGATATAATATGTGGCTGTGACATTCTGTAATAATTAGTTTCTAGCCTCTTGTTTTGATATTGTAAAAGTCCGAGTGCACCTGCAATTCAGTCCTATTATTTGTGACTTGTAAGTTTGTCCCTATAAATGACACCTGGTGAAAACGTTACAGAGGAGGCTTGTCAAAGACTCCTTGAAAACTAAGCAGTGTAAAGACTAAGCAATTATCATCAGTGCTAGTTTTTAGATGAGAAAAGACAGCTACAGCCACTGCAATAGCATTCAAAATGAATTCCCAAGTTAGGAGGAGTACAAGTAACCCTCAGTGTTAACCAGATTTACAAAGGATGCTGCTAGGTTATCTAATGAGAGGCAGCTTGAATGTGGCACTTTTGCCATGGAGCTTAAGTGAACCACTTATTTTCTTTTATTCTTTAGATCAGTAAAGTAAATAGAAGTCTGGGCTGTTTCATGTCTATATATTAACCAATTTTCATTATCTTTTTCTCTTGCTTTTAAGTAATTGTGCTTAATTGCACTGTTGAATTTTGCAATTTCTAGGGAATTATATTTTATGGCATGGCTCTGAGCTTAAAGAACAAATGTACTCACTTTTTTTTGGAGGAATAAAAGAAAGCTTTTCCCAAATGAACTGTCCATGTGCATTGGAAAGTCCACTATCCCTGAGATAGAAGCCGCTACAATAAGTAGGGACTGAATAAGTTCTCTCAAAGCAAGATTGATTGTTGTTTATTAGGCTTACTGACCTGGTCTTCAGTTGTAAACTTTATACTTCTCAACCTAATGCTTGGCAGCACAAAAATCTTTCTGCAATGGTTCATAGTAGACCCAGCATTCTCCGTCTTCGTGAAATACCTTGTCCCCATTGAATTTTCTGTTCCTTCCTTTCTCAGGCTTCTGCTCTTTGCCTTTCTGCAAGTCTGTGCTTTGCCTCAGTTGACACAGCAAAGTCTCTGATTCTTAAGTTGAATGACATCTTTCCAAAGGCAGCTGGATTTATCCTCATTCTGTTCTTTCAATTTCCTCACTTTCTTCTTGATTATAAGCAACTTCATGATATCAACAAAGGCGGTGTTTTCCCCTTTTTGCATACTGGGCATGCATTACATCATTCCATTTCCCTTCAATTGAGCAAAAAGACTTCTTGTCATTTGGAGAAAAAATGTCAGGGATAATTCTGTGCTTCTTGCCCCCACAGAAAGTGTAGAAGACGCTATAGCCCAGTTTGAAACATTTAATGTTGCATTCTCTCCCTAATTCCCCACAGGGCACTGTGAGGATAAACCTTCCATAACCACAGGGGAATGTGAAAGTGTAGTGCTCATCATATTCTAGACAGAAGACATAGCCTTGCCCTAGCTGTGCACCTCAATTGACATCCCATGGAATTTTTATTTGTTCCAGATATGAGCATCAAATTGTATCTTCTTGTTAAAACACTCAGAATAAAAGGCTGCAATGGATGCATGATGGGAAACCTGCTAAGCCATGAATGTTACACTATTTTTGGAGACCTAGGCAACTGGTGCTTCTGAAACTAGCTCTGTGTTATCTTCAATATCATTAGGTAATATCTAGTGATACTAAAACATCTCACTGAAAATGGTGTTGTATGACATTTTGGCAACCAATTCTTTTTTTTTTTTTCTTGCATGAAAGGCTGAGAGGTACCATTTTATAACCTAAACCATTCACTCACTAGGACCCTTCTCATCACTAATGTTCAAAAACAGATGCAAAAAAAAAGTCTGCATACATTTCTAAGAGATCTCTCGAGAATAAATGTTTGAAGAACTATTTTCATTCTATCTTAGTAAGATTCATTCCAAGTCTAACCCATGACAAGACATTCATGATAATGCTCTTATGCTCCTCTGCTGACTGCCTCTGCAACATCCTCTCTATCACCATGTAAATCAAAAAGATGAGCATCACTTGTTCCACTGGATATGAAGTAATTAAATGATTCTGTGGTAAGTAGGCACTTTAGACTACTTCCAGAGCTACTTTGTGTCAAGACTAAGAAGGATCAAGAAGATTCTATTAAAGTACTTTGAGAATGAACCACTTTTGGAGAATTCACCAGCATCGTAGAAGTCATCTTTACTGCTAGAATAAGAGAACACTGGTACTGTATCTGCAGACAGGTTGACTTGACTTGGAGAAGTTAGACTGTGATTAGGTAGTAAATGGCCACTGACTGTGCTATTTGATGTTGGAGGCTCATGATTTCCCAAGGCAACTAATACAAATCTAGCCGTAATATCTTTTCAAAGTCTTGGACGCTAGACATAAATCCGGAATCCATACCCTAGAGGCCAGTGGGAAGGAGATAGAGCACAGCTTGACCCCAGGCATGCAGCAGGGACCCTGGGGACCCAGAGGTGGCAGTTGCCCCTCTCCCAGAACCATGGTCTACTCAAAGCTCAAATGGCCAGCATGAAAGTCATTTGTCAAAGCTCTTGCCCTCCATCCCTCCAGGGAAGGGAGTCAGGGGCTGCTCTGGAGCAATCCTTTTTGTTCCCCTGTGGATTGATCGGATGGATCCCTAGGCTGTGGCACAGAGAGCCGATATACTCATTGTTTTTAATTTTCATTCTTTCTTTTATAATTTTTCTCTGTGTCTTTATGAGTTTTACATATGCAAACTTAGAAATATGTAAGTGAAGAAAAAAGCTAAGCTTTCAGAAATACACCCAGTAGCAACTAAATGTAATCCACCAATAACTGAAATCACTGCATCTGATAAGTCACCAATATGTTACAATGAGATTTGCAACATTTAATAAACATCTGTTATGTGACTTTTTTGCCAGATATTTTCAAATATGTTAATTTATCTTAAAAAGTAAATAACTAAAACAACTTATTTTAAAAATTATACCCTTTATAGTATTTTTAGTAAACAATAAGTCAGGTATAAAAATATAGAGTTCTGTATTAATTTACACAGGGCTTTATACACAGTCAAATTCAGTAATAGTAAGTAATATTTTTACAACACAATTCACCATATAACATTGATACTCTCAGGAATAACACCACTCACTTTGAATAAGAGATACGAAATTAACTATAATACTCTTCTGAATGCAGAGTAATGAAAAACCTACGTAGGGAATAAATCCCATTTATTTCTGCCTCAGATGCCAGTGATAATACATATTTTAGTTCGAGCATCTGACTGGAACATCTGTTACCTGTTTTGCTCTGGCTTCTGAAAGCTCTCTTTTTAGTGTGACTGATCCCCACTATGTGTTTTATGATGTACAAGTGGCATAACAGCACATAGCATATGTTATTCGGTATTGGGCTACATGTCTTTCATTGACCGAGGCTACAAATCTTCTTTTAATTCATCAAGTAACATAAGGATTCTTCAATAATCTAGTCTTTAACACCTCTAAGCCATACATAGAAAGACTTCCTTTGGTTACAAATACAATAAGAAGTCCAAGTTTGTAACCCTTGTTTCTGACAGTATTACAACTTGGGCCGGGAGAAAAGCAAAGAGACAACAAATAGTATTATGTGAGAATGGCAATAACAACAAGGTTCATTTTAATTATGTTTTGATGAAAAGAGAACAATGACATTAAACCTAAGAAAGAAATCCTGGCAGTTCCAGTTTAGAGAGTATCAACCATATGCCGTATGGTTTCCATATTCAAGGGAGGAAGTGAAGATCAAAGAGGTAATGTGAGGTATGCCAATCCACATAGCTAGCAAATGCAATTTAGGGCTCCCTCATGTTAAATCCAGTGTTCTTTGCCCATCTTCATATTATTGTCATTAGATAAGCGACAAAGGTGAGAATAGAAGCAAAGTACTCAGGGAATCACATCCTCTAATATTCTGTCTCATTGGGCTCCAAAGTGGCCATTCTCAATAATCATTATTTCCTTTCCACTATGCCTGTGCATTCTGTTCCTGCCATTATATCCCCTTCTCCCTGGATTTTGCCTGTTCTTAGCACATTGCTTGATCTACAGTGCATAAAAGTGTCCTCTGTGACTTCAGAGACTGAATATCCAGATGAACATTCAGATGAAAAAAGCTTTGTGGTGACCACCTCCTACTCTTGGAAGAGTCAGGGAGAAGCCAGTTGTGTGTGAAAAGTCTGGCTATCCTGAGAACGCCACGTGGTGAGGAAGCCCAAGTTAGCCATGCGGAGAGGCTTGAACACTGAGAGAGATTCCTGAACCAACCAGTGCCTTAGCAGACAGCATGTAGAGAGGAACCAAGGTTCTCAATGACAGACAGAACTGAAGCCCTAAACTTAGAACACAGTCAAACCATTTCAAATCCTCACAACCTAATGAATAGCCCCAGCTTAGGACCCAGGGAAGGTATCACGGAGGCAAGACAAGCCTCCCTGTTGTACCCAGTCCAAATTTCAGATGCATAACACTAAATAAGTTATAAAAAAGATATCTGATGTTTTTAGGCTGGCAAAGTGGCTCACGCCTATAATCCCAGCACTTTGGGAGGCTGAAGCAGGTGGATCACTTGAGGTCAGGAGTTTGAGATCAGCCTGGCCAACATGGCAAAAACCCAACTCTATTAAATTGCAAAAATTGGCTGGGCATGGTGGTACATGCCTGTACCCCAGCTACTCAGGTTGCTGAGGATGAGAATTGCTTGAACCCAGGATGCAGAGGTTGTAGTGAGCCAAGATCCCACTATTGCACTCCAGCCTATGCAACAGAGTGAGACTCTGTCTCATAAGAAAAGATGTTTTAACTGAGTTTTGGGTGTTTGCTACAAAGCAAAAGATAATCAAATTAATGGTGTTTTGAGAAAGAATGCTTACTATGTAAGATGCCATATTTATCATCCACAGATGCTCTAAATCTTTGTTGTATCTAATAATGAAAGGTCTTATTACTATTGTTTAGAAATGTGTTAGTCTCTTTTGTGAAAAGCATGTTTTCATATCCTCAGAAGGAATAAAGAAATAGTATGTACCTGAGGACAAGCAGGATGTACAATGTTTAAAGTAGTATTGTAAGGAGGGCAGTCACAGAAGCCATCTCCAAAGACAATGTTTTCAATGTTTTGTGAAATAAAATTCAACATGTTCCTTTGTTCTTTCTATCTCTAAGGCTAACTTCTGAAAGCTGTTACAAAATATCCATTCGGAAACGCAGAGATGGTGTATAGAAGCCATACTTGATTTAGTGGAAATTAAAATGAGCTATGTCCCCTTTCAGTATTGTCAGTATTTGCAAAAAGCATTGACATAAAAATTACCCAGAGACTCAGTTTTTCATTTCTATCTGTTCCCTAGACTGTCAAAAACGCTCAAGAATCCTAATCCACACATTTTGATTAGGTTCCAAACCATATGACTTCAGGCAGAAAGATATTTCAGCCCAATTGGAGGCCCTTAGGGAGAGTATGACTGCTCAGCCTGATTTATTCCATGTGCACAGCCAAAGGAGCATCATAGCTCAATGAATAAAAGTATCTATTTAATGATTCTTACACCAGTTTTAGTAGTCACAAAAGGTGCTATATTTATAAAAATAGAAACTGCAGCACTTTTTGTTTTGTTTTTCAAAATTAAGTACATGTGAAGTGCAAGAAACATAAATATCTTAAGGAAAAAGGGTTATTAGCTAAAGATTTCTCCACCTGAGTTGGGAATCCAGGTCTTTGGAAAATTGAGATTGAAGGTAATTACAATCTGTGAATGATTTTAGAAGGACACAAAATTCACCATTAGAAATTAAAATGTGCTCTAATGCCTAGTATATATGTTCTTGTTGTAATACCATTTAAAGACTATTTTAGGATAAGGAAGCAAAATGTTAAGTTTAATGTCAAAAACATCTTGGAGATTATGTTTAATTTGATCAATTAAAAGCTTTTTTTTAAAAAAGGTTAGTGCTCTGATCTGTTTACTGAATGATTTTTTAATGTCTATTATGAAAGCAGAGGCACTATAGTTGCAGGACAGAATGGAGTGTTTAAATCCATCTTCCGTATTCCAGAAAGATGAACTGGACATGAAATAACTCATGATAAAAGCAGACCGCCACTGTATTGACTAGAGCAGAGGTCTTTCTTTCAGAGGTCTTTACCTCTTTCTGTCAAAAGCAAGATAGTAACCATTTTAGGCCTTTAGGGTCATAAGGTCTCTGTCACCATCTCTGCCTTTGTGGTGATCACAGCTATAGACATGGCATAAACTAATAGGCATGGCCATGTTCCAACATAGGCTTCAATTTGAGCCCTGGTCTGAAGATTTGGGATTGGGGAAGTCTATCAGGTTTTGCCATGGAGTGCATTTAGGGGACCAGCTCAGGAAGATATAGTCACAAAACCCAGTGATTAGGAATTAGTGGCCAGAAGGAGAGACAAGAAAAATAAAGCCTCATGGGCAGAACAAAAAAAAAGAAATAAATGTGATAGCGGGGACTACTTATTATGACAGTGGATGAAGGACTCGCATAAAAATGCTATTTCTCTAGTTGCAAACAGAGAGTATGAAGGCTCTAAGGCATAAAACTCAGAAATGTATGTCATGACTTATGCTCCCCCCACCTTTTTTTATGGTCAGGTACCTGGAGCCAAAGAGCTGAAGTAAATTTCATGAAGGCACAGAGCTTAGTCAGTTGCAGAGCCTATGTTTGAAGCCTGATATACTTTCTTCACAAAGCCACATTCCTTTCATATCATTAGATGTCCTTTAACAATTCTCAAATGTTTACATATAAGTATGTTCTAAAGCTTTGATACAGGTGACAGCCCTATGTAGGAACAGGCTTTTCTGTGTAATTAATCATATGTGCCTTTATATTTACACTGGAGTCCATAATGCAGAAAATGACAACAATAATGGCTTTTAAACTCCATCAGACTATAAGGCTAGGTCCTCTTTTCATTACTAATAATCTAAACCACTCCACTGCTCTGCATTGTGTTGCTCCACATCTCAATTAATAATTCAAGGTAGCCCTTCAGGTCTTTTCCTTGGAGCTAAGAATTGCAACTAAGCTAAGAAACTATTTTAAATTATTTGCAGAATATATTGTTACGCAATCCCCATATTGTTATGCTTATTTTAACGCTGGAACTTCTTGTGAGGTGGCAGTATGCATTAAGTGAACTTCAAAAATTAACTTCAAATAACGGTAGTTATAAATAGAATGACATCACTGTGCTTAGACTGGCACTGGCCTAGGCTCACCTCACATTTTATTCTGTATTATATTCAGTATATATACAGAATAAAATATACATATGTAATTTTTCTATACATATTTTTCTATACCTATATTTTTATAATGTATTTATTATGTATGTGTGTCTTTCTAATGATTATCAGATACATTCTGAATTTATATAATCTGATTTCTAAAACAATATTATATACTACTGTGAATTTCCATTACCTACTAATATTAATATAATTTTAAAAATCAGACCAATTACTTCAATAGATAGAAATTGTAGTAAATAGAGCTACATAGCTACACTAAAAAGGGACATTGTTTGAGATTGGAAAGGCAAGAATATAGAGAAGAGACAAAGAATAAAAAGCAAGTCCAGCATCAAAAGCATAATTGAGTTTATCTGACTAGTAAAAAAAAAAAAGGCACTAAAATAATTAAGTGAAAGTACATTTCCCAAATCAATTTTTTCTTCTGTTTGAAAAGATAATCTCTATATGGTTAAACTGATACATTTCATAAAATTAAATTCATATAAATATCATGAAAGATGCATGTGCTTTCTCTGTCCAAATAATTGAAAGTGCCAAAAGAAGCATGTACCAAAACAAGCAAGCCTCAGTGGATTTACTTATGCAAACTGATGTTACAATACTGCCAAGATGACTAAATTCTGGTATTATCAGAATTCATGAAATGCGGCTTGTCTCAAGCGCCTGAGAACTGCTTCTGCAGTTCCAAATTAGATTCTACTATTTTATGTGGTTGCTTTCTTGGGTGAAACCTAAATTAAAATTACATTCAATTTACAACATTTTTCCTTCTCAGGAAAAAAAAATGCTTTGCTAAATGATTCTTACGTCTTATTGAAAATATTACATTATGTTTTTTATTAATTTAAAATTGATATGATGGAATAGTGTAAAAATGTGGCAGAACTTAATTGAGATTGTGCTTCTCTAATCTAATTCTGCTCAGCAATATAACATGCATCAAACAGTGGATTTTTGATAGAAACAATGAATTTAAATTTAAATTTTCAGGTTATATTCTCATTTACATTACCCAGTGCACAAAATGTTTAAGCTCTTCTTTCTTTTCAGACATCCACAATATCAATAAAGATGTCATACATGCACACAACACTTCAGAAACAGAATACAGTTGGCATTTCAGCCAGAAAGAGGATTTTCCTTGGGGGCTCTTTCATTGCTTTAACACTAATCTGTGACAAAAGGGCCTTGTCAAATTCTTATTGCATTTAGGAAGCTTTTGGTGGGATTTGTATTGATCTAGAATAAGGCAACTGACAACATTGCAATAAATTTTTACTACTTAGTACTGATCAATGTGTGTTTTTCCTCTCAAACTTTTTGCAGAAAATTGCCTTAAATTTTTTCAGATATGGCCAAGATGTTGTTAAGTTAATTATATCTTTTTTCTAAGTTAATTATATCTTGTGCAAAAGGTTACAGACACTTAATGAAGAGAAGAGAATACCTTATACTGTGATCTTCATTTTCCTGAGATCAGTTATAGCTAACATGTAAATAAAATACACACACAGAAAAACATACCTGGCAACACATCAGACAACATAGAGATTGACAGATAACACCAGAACCTATATACACTAATTTTTAATTGCTCACCATATCTATTTAATATTCTTAATACCACATTAAAATCATAGGGATTATCAATACATGGCACAGTTATTGCCCCTAAATATTTGATAAGGAAAGGAAATGAATGGATAAATATTGTCTCATGTTCTATTCATACATAGATTTTATCACTATCCCCTTTCTCTCATGTGCTTTAAAAATTTGAGGTTTTAAACCAATATGATGTGTTTTAATAAATGATATTTATTTTCAGAAGCATATTTTGCATTTCTCTTTTTTGATGTTACTGCAACTTTTCAAATTCACTTTCTGTCAATCATATGCCTGATTGCAAAGATATTTAGGGTAAAGTAAGAGCAGAGCAAAGAAGGAAATAATTTTCTTCAACAATGGAGTAAAAGCAACTGCCAGTGGAAGAATAGATATGATAATAAATTTCACATTTTCGTTATGGCATGTTTTTAATAGTTATTTCTATTTCATCTACAAACATCTTCCTGGAACTAGTGCCTAAAGAATAAATGTCATGTCTTAGAATTATTTTCCTAACTATTAACCTTTAGAACAACAGTGTTTATAAAATTATTTTAAAAACTGAAATTTCAGTGGAATGAAACATTATCAAGTGTATTGTGTTTGTTGAGAATATTTAAATATTTGAACCATAGAGTTCAATAAATTTTTTCATTCCTTTTATTACTTAAAATATATTTTTATCCAGTAAATTTCAAATTAAACTGAAATATTAAACTGCATATTTATTCTCATGCTTTTAAAAAGGTGTAGTGTGGCACAACTTTTATCTATAAATTGTTTTAGCAAGTCTCTGAGCAAAATGGTCAATTAACGGCATTCTCCATTTTATGAAAATTTTATTGATTGTCCACTCTGTTTTGGCAGGAATAGTGATCTTGATTTCAGACTGACACCATATGTATGAGATAACACTCAGCACCAAATTTACTTAGCTCGTGACCTCAGACACAACTTACTTTACTTAGCAGTGACTTCACGACCATTAGACACAACTTCTGATGTCTAAGTCTCTCCACAGTTTGGTCATGTACAATCAAAAGAGATAAGGCTGAATTGCTACAAGCCATTAAGTTTCAGAGAAGCCATCAGCTCTTGGATCCTTTCAGCATAACTGATCATTCCCTATCCCACCCCCTGGAGTACAAGATTTGTTCCCATTCTCGAAGCGACTGATTCTCATAAATACCAGTAATATATCATTTAACATGCAAACACAGTAATTAGATACAGGTGATCTGATTACTGTACCAATACAGTCAGAGTTCTTCACTAGATTCTATTTTATTTGTGTCTGTTGTAGGTATCCTCTTAACAATTGCTTTAGTTAATGTGTCAAGAAAGGTTCAAAAAGGTTCAAAGTTTCTCACCTATCTGAACCTACAAGAAAGACCAGAAAATCAGATTTTAACTCCTTTCTTCCATTTAGAAATTCAGTTTAAGTATCCTAAATGCCAAAATGGGAGCACTGTTGGCCCTCTGAAATACCATAGCTCTTATGATAATTATGTTGCAATAATACATTATTGTGCATTTATATAATTAAATTTAGAATGTCTACTTTTTGTATTTTTGTTTTAGAACTAAAAATATAAGGCCAGAAGTATAATTTGTAGGGCTTGGAATCAGTAGACCAGCTGGGGCCACAGGCAGTACTTGTGCCACCCCTTCCTCAACCCCAGGCAGCACAGCTCACAGTTCCAGGAGATAATTCTTCCTTCTGCCTGAGAAGAGGAGAGAGAAGGGTAATAAGAACTTTGTCTTGCAACTTGTATACCAGCTCAGCCATAGTAGGATAGGGCACCAGGCAGAGGTGGGAGGCCTTCATTCCAGGTATTTGCTCCCAGGACACAAACCTAGACTCACTGTGGGCCAGAAGAAAACCCACTGCCTTGAAGGGGAGGACCCAGACCTGGCAGCATTCATCACCTGTTGACTAAAGAACTTATGAACCCCGAATCATCAGCAGCGGTAACCAGGTATATTCATGATGGGCCTTGGGTGGGACACTGAGACTTCCTGGCTTCAGGTGTGATCCATGACATTGGCAGCTGAGGTAGAGAGAGAGATGGAGGTATAAAGTTTGTTCAAGAGATAATAACAAGAAACTTCCCAAACTTAGAGAAAGATACCAACATTCAAGTACGAGAAGGTTATAGAACACCAAGCAGGTTTTAACAAAAGAAGACTATCTTAAGACATTTAAAACTCAAACTCCCAAAGGTCAAGGATAAGGAAATAATTTTAAAAGCAAAAAGAGAAAAGAAGTCAATAACATATAATGAAAGTCCAATACATCTGACAGTAGACTTTTCAGTGGAAGCCTTACAGACCAGGAGAGAGTGGCATGACATATTGAAAGTGCTGAAGAAAGAAAACTTTTACACTATAATATCTGGTGGAAATATTCTTCAAACATAAAGGAGAAATAAAGACTTTCCCAGATGTATTAGTCCATTCTTGCACAGCTATAAAAAAAAATCTGGCACTGGGTAATTTATAAAGAAAAGAGGTCTAATTGGTTTACAGTGCCACAGACTGTATAAGAAATATGGCAGCATTTGCTTCTGGGACTGCCTCAGGGAGCTTTTACTCATGGCACAAGACAAACTGGAAGCAGAGCAGGAGCAAGAGAGAGTGGGAAGGTGCCTCATACTTTAAACCACCAGATGTCACAAGAACTCACTCACTATTGTGACACATTACCAGTGGGGAAATCTGCTCCCGTGATCCAATTGCCACCCACCAGGCCCCACCTCCAAAAGAGGGGACTGCAATTTGACATGAGATTTGGGTGAGGACACAGTCCCAAACCATATCATCAAACAAACAAAAGCTGAGAGATTTTATCAACACAAGACCTGTCCTGCAAGAAATGCTCAAGGGAATTATTCAATCTGAAAGAAAAATACATTAACGAACAATAAGAAATCATCTGCAGGTACAAAGCTCACTGGTAATAGTAAATACCCAGAAGAACACAGAATATTATAACACTGTAATCATGCTGTGTAAATGATTCATGTCTTAAGTAGATCTAAAGGACAAATTGATCAAAAATAATAACTACAACTTTTCAAGACATAAACCATGCAATGAGATATTAAAAGAAACAAAGTAAAAAGCAGGAAGACAAAGTTAAAGTGTAGAGCTTCTGTTAGTTTTCTACTTGCTTGTTTGCTAGTTTGTTTATGTAATCAGTGTTGTCATCAGTTTTTTATAATGGCTTATAAGATATTATTTGCAAGCCTCATCGTAAGCTCAAATCAAAATACATACAACAGATACACAAAAAATAAAAAGAAATAAATGAAAACATACCATCAGAGAAATTGCCTTAATGAAAAGAAAAACAGGAAGGAAGGAAAGAAGTTTGAGAAGACAAAGAAAGCAAATATAAAATGGCAAGAGTAAATCCCTACTTATCAATAATAACATTGAACGTAAATGAACTAAACTCTCCAATCAAAACACATAGAGTGGCTGAACAGATAAGAAAAAAAAAGACTCAATGACTTTTTGCCTGCTAGAAGCATACTTTACATACAAAGACACACAGAGCCTGAAAATAATGGGATGGAATAAGATATTCCATGCCAATGGAAACTAAAAAAGAGTAGGAGTAGCTATTCTTATATCAGACAAAATACACTTCAAGACAAAAAACAACAAACAAGGCAACATATACATTATATAATGATAAAGGGGTCGATTCAGCAAGAACATATAATAATTTAAAGCATATATATCCGATAGTGGAGCACCCAGATATATACTGCAAATATTAATAGAGATAAAGGCAGAAATACATCTCAATACAATAATAGCTGGAGACTTCAACACCCACTTTCAGCACTGGACAGATCATTCAGACAGATAATCAAAGAAGAAACATTGGACTTAATCTGTACTGTAGACCAAATTGACCTAATAGATATTTACAGAAAATTTTATTCAATGGCTACACAATACATATTCTTCTCTTTAGCATGTGGATCATTCTCGAGAATAGATATGGGGGCAGAGTCTAGATGGCCAAGGAGAAACAGCCATGAACGGAGGCTCGTATTGAAAAAAAACATAATAAGCATGTGAATCCTTTGCTGGCAACCAAGGTATACAGGTTCTCTCATCAGAAATGACTAGCAGGCTGGCGTGATCCATGGAGAGGAAGGAAGAGCAATGTGGTGCGGCGCCCCACCTGAGAGCCACACAGGGCAGTGGAGCACCCACCCCCCTCTGCCAAGGTAGGCTGTGAGTGAGTGTGCTATCCAGTGAGGGAAACCATGCTTTTTCCATGGAACTGTGCAACCCACGGATCAGAAGTTCTCACTTGCAAACACACACCACCGGGGCCTAGCATCCCAACCCTAGAGCCATGCAGATTCTCAACAGCCTCTCAGCTGGAATCTGCTTAAGCCTACCAAGCTCCCAGGAGGAGGGGTGACCAGCACCACAGCTGTGGCTGACTTCTGTCTAAGCCCATTGAGCTTTTTGAGGGAGGGGCAGCAGCCAGCACTGACACTCACAACTGCCTGGCACACTAAGCTCCCTGGGCAGGGGAAGGGTGACATTCATCTCTATTACTCCAGGCCATGCTTTTCCCCTGCTGGAGCCAGGGAGCCTGGACAGCTTGGTCCCAAGATGTGTCCCCCACAGTGCAACACACTGGCTGTGGCAGACTATGGCCAGAGTGCCTCCTCAGGCCTGACTTGACTCATTCTCTGTCACTGGGTAGGGCTTCCATACAGGATCTCCAGTAACCCCAGCCAGAGGCTCAGTGACAGAACCTGGATCTCCCTGGGCCTGAGCCCCTAGGGGGAGGGGTGGCCACAGTCTCTGCAAACCAGGAGGCTTAGCCTTTCCTCCTGGTAGTTCTGAGGAATCCAGGCAGCCCAGATAAGTGGGTTTCCCCCCAGCAAAGCACACACCCTCCACCAAGGGACAAAGTGCTTCATTAAACAGGTCCTATCTCCCATGCCACCCAATAGGGTGAGACCTTCCAACAGGTGTTGCCAGACACTCTATACAGAAGAAATCCTACTGGCATCAGGTTGTTGCCCCTTGAGGTCAGAGATCTCAGAAGGAGAAGGCACCCATCTTTGCTGTCCAGGTGCGGGAATGAACCAGATGGATAGGGACTGAAGTGAACCCCCAGCAAACTGCAGCAGCCCTGCAGAAGAGCATCAACAACAACAACAGCATCAACAACAACAATAAAAAAGCCCTCACTATAACCCTATCCAAGGGACAGCAGCCTCAAAGACCAAAACTAGACAAACTCATGAAGATAAGAAAGAATCCATGAAAAAATGCTGAAAATCCAAAAGGCCAGAGTGCCACTTCTCTTCCAAATGATTGCAATGTCTCTCGAGCAAGGACACAGAACTGGACGGAGGATGAGATGGACAAATTGATAGAAGTAGGCTTTAGAAGATGGGTAATAAAAAACTATGCTGAGCTAAATGAGCATGTTCTATCCCAATGCAAAGAAGCTAAAAACCTTGATAAAAGGTTACATGAGCTGCTAACTAGAATAACCAGTTTAGAGAAAAACATAAATGATCAGATGGAGTTGAAAAACACAGCATGAGAACTTCATGAACCATACACCAGTATCAACTGCAGAATTGACCAAGCAGAATAAAGGATATCAGAGTGTGAAGACCACTTTGTTGAAATAAGGCATACAGACAAGACTAGAGAAAAAAGAATGGAAAGGAATGAACAAAGCTTCCAAGAAATATGGGACTTTGTGAGAAAACCAAACCAGAGATTGATTGGAGGATCAATCCTGAAGGAGATAGGGAGAATGGAAACAAGCTGCAAAATAAACTTCAGGATATTATCCAGAAGAACTTCCCCAACCTAGCAAGATAGGCCAATGTGCAAATTCAAGAAATACAGAGAATGCCACTAAGATACGCCACAAGAAGATCACCCCAAGACACATAATCATCAGATTCTTCAAGGTAGAAGTGAAGGAAAAAAATGTTAAGGGCAGTCAGAGAGAAAGGCCAAGTCACCTGCTAAGGGAAACCCATCAGACTAACAGCAGACCTTTCAGCAGAAATTCTACAAGCCAGAAGAGACTGGAGGCCAATATTCAATATTCTTAGAGAAAGAAATGTTCAACCCAGAATTTCATATCCTGCCAAACTAAGCTTCATAAGTGAAGAGAAAATAAAATCCTTCCCAGATAGGCAAATGCTGAGGGATTTCGTTACCACTAGGCCTGCCTCGGAAGAACTCCTGAAAGAAGCACGAAGTATGGAAAGGAAAAACCAGTACCAGCCATTGCAAAAACACACCAAAATATAAAGACCAATCACACTACGAAGAAACTGCATCAGTGTGCAAAAGAACGAGATAGCATCATGATGACAGGATCAAATTCATACATAACAATACTAACCTTAAATGTAAATGGCTAAATGCCTCAATTAAAAGACACAGACTAGCAAATTGGATAAAGAGACAAGATCCATTGGTGTGCTGTATACAGGAGACCCATCTCACAGGCAAAGACACACATAGGCTCAAAATAAAGGGATGGAGGAAAATTTACCAAGCAAATGGAAAGAAAAAAAAAAAACAGGGGTTGCAATCCTAGTCTCTGACAAAACAGATTTTAAACCAAAAAGATCAAAAGAGACAAAGAAGGGCATTATGTAATGGTAAAGGTAACAATTCAACAAGAGGAGCTAACTATTCTAAATATATATTCACCCAATATAGGAACACCCAGATTCATAAAACAAGTTCTTAGAGACCTACAAACAGACTTAGACTACCACCCAATAATAGTGGGAGACTTTAACATTCCACTATCAATATTAGACAATTCAAGACAGAAAATTAACAAGGATATTCAGGACTTGAACTCAGCTCTGGATCAAGTAGACCTAATAGACATCTACAGAACTCTCCACCCCCAATCAACGGAATATACATTCTTCTCAGTGCAATATGGCTCTTATTCTAAAATCGACCACATAATTGGAAGTAAAACACTCCTTAGCAAATGCAAAAAAACTGAAATCATAACAGCCTCTCAGACCACAGTACGATCAAATTAGAACTTGGGCTTAAGAAACTCACTCAAAACCACACAATTACATGAAAATTGAACCACCTGCTCCTGAGTACTCTTGGGTAAATAATGAAATTAAGGCAGACATCAAGAAGTTCTTTGAAACCGATGAGAACAAAGAGAAAATATACCAGGATCTCTGGGACAGAGGTAAAGCAGTGTTAAGAGGGAAAATTATAACACTAAATGCCCAAAACAGAAAGCTAGAAAGATTACAAATTGACACATTAACATTACAAGTAAAAGAACTAAAGAAGCAATAGCAAACTAATCAAAAGATAGCAGGGGACAAGAAATAACTAAGATCAGAGCAGAAATGAAGGATACAGAGACACAAAAAATCTTCCAAAAAATCAATGAATCCAGGATCTGCTTTTTTGAAATGATTAACAAAATGGATAGACCACTAGCTAGACTAGTAAAGAAGAAAAGAGAGAAGAATCAAATAGATACAATAAAAATGGTAAAGGAGATATTACCACTGACACCACAGAAATACAAACTACCATCAGGGAATACTATAAACACCTCTACACAAATAAACTAAAAAATCTAGAAGAAATAGATGAATCCTGGGTCCCCCAAGACTAAACCAGGAAGAAGTTGAATCCCTGAATAGATCAATAACAAGTTCTGAAATTGAGGCAGTAACTAATAGCCTACCAACCAAAAAAAGCCCAGAACCAGTTGGATTCAGAGCCAAATTCTATCAGAGGTACAAAGAGGAGCTGGTACCATTCCTTCTGAAACTATTCCAAATGATTGAAAGGAGGGATTTCTCCCTAACTCATTTTATGAAGCCAGCATCATCCTGATACCAAAATGGGAAGAGACACAACAAAACAAAGAAAACTTCAGGCCAATATCCCTGATGAACATCAATAAGAAAATCCTCAGTAAAATACTGACAAAGCGAATCCAGCAGCACATCAAACAGTTTATCCATTACGATCAAGTCGGCTTCATCCCTGGAGTGCGAGGCTGGTTCAACATATGCAAATCAATAATAGGAACCCATCACATAAACAGAACCAATGACAAAAACCACAAGATTATCTCAATAGATGCAGAAAAGGCCTTTGATAAAATCCAACATCCCTCCATGTTAAAATCTCTCAATAAACTAGGTATTGATGGAACATATCTCAAAATAATAACAGCTATTTATGACAAACCCACAGCCAATATCATATTGAATGGGCAAAAGCTGGGAGCACTCCCTTTGAAAACTGGCACAAGACAAGGATGCCCTTTCTCACCACTCTCATTCAACATAGTATTGGAAGTTCTGGCTAGGGCACTTAGGCAAGAGAAATAAATAAAGAGCATTCAAATAGGAAGAGGGGAAGTCAAATTGTCTCCGTTTGCAGATGACATAATTTTATATTTAGAAAACCCCATCATGTCAGCCCCAAACCTCCTTAAACTGATAAGCAACTTCAGCTGTCTCAGGATACAAAATCAATGCGCAAAAATCACAAGTATTCTTTTACACAAACAATAGACAAGCAGAGAGCCAAATCATGAATGAACTCCTATTCACAGTAACTAGAAAGGGTTATAAAATACCTAATAACACAGCTAAAAAGAGATATGAAGGACCTCAAACCATTGCTCAAAGAAATAGTAGAGGACACAAACTAATGGAAAAACATTCCATCCTCATGGATAAGAATAATCAGTATCATGAAAATGGCCACACTGCCCAAAGTAATTTATAGATTCAATGCTATTCTCATCAAACTACCATTGACATTCTTCACAGAATTAGAAAAAAAAAACTAATTTAAATTTCCTGTGAAATCAAAGAGGACCCCGTATAGCCAAGATAAACCTAAGCAAAACCAACAAAACTGGAGGCATCATTCTACCTGGCTTCAAACTATACTACAAGGCTACATTAACCAAAACAGCATGGTACTGGTACCTAAACAGACATGTAGACCAATGGAACAGAACAGAGACCTCATAAATAACTCCACACATCTATAGCCATCTGATCCTCGATAACCCTGACAAAAGCAAGCAATGGGGAAAGGATCTCCTATTCAATAAATGGTGCTGGGAAAACTGGCTAGTCATATGCAGAAAACTGAAACTGGACAGCCTCCTTATACCTTAACTCAGCAAAACTTAACTCAAGTTGGATTAAAGCCTTCAATGCAAAACCAAAAAACATAAAAACCCTAGAAGAAAACCTAGGCAATACCATTCAGTTCATAGGCAGGGCAAAGCCTTCATGATGAAAATGCCAAAAACAATTGCAACAAAAGCCAGAACTGACAAATGGGATCTAATTAAACTAAAGAGCTTCTGAACAGCAAAAGAAACTATCATCAGAGTGAACAGGCAACCTATAGAATGGGAGAAAATTTTTGCAATCTACCCATCTGACAAAGGTCTAATATCCAGAATTTACAAGGAACTTCAACAAATATGCAAGAAAAAACAAACAAACAACCACATCAAAAACTGGGCAAATGATATGAACAGACACTTCTCAAAAGAAAACATTAAGCAGCCAACAAACATATGAAAAAAAGCTCATCATCACTGATCATTAGAGAAATGTAAATCAAAACCACTTTGAGATACCATCTCACACCAGTTATAATGGCAATTATTAAAAAGTCAAGAAAGAATAGAATTATTAAAAAGTCAAGAAAGAACGACAAGGGTGTGGAGAAATAGGAACACTTTTAAACTGTTGGTGGGAATGTGAATTAATTCAATCATTGTGGAAGACAGTATGGCAATTCCTCAAGGTTCTAGAACCAGGAATATCATTTGACCCAGCAATCCCATTGCTGGGCATACACCCAAAAGAATATAAATCATTCTACTATAAAGACACATGCACACTTATGTTTACTGCAGCACTACGTACAATAGCAAAGACATGGAACCAGCCCAAATGCCTGTCATTGATAGACTGGATAAAGAAAATGTGGCACATATGCACTATGGAATACTACACAGCCATAAAAAGGAATGAGATCCTGTCCTTTGCAAGGACATGGGTGAAGCTGGAAGCCATCATTCTCAGCAAACTAACACAGGAAGGGGAAAAACGAACACTGCATGGTCTCACTCATAAGTAGGAGTTGAACAATGATAACATACAGACACAGGGAGGGGAACAACACACACCAGGGACTGTTGGGGGTAGTGGCCAAAGGATGGAAGCTTAAAGGATGGCTCAAAGTGCAGCAAACCACCATGGCACACGTATACCTATGTAACAAACCTGCACATTCTGCACACGTATCCTGGAACTTAAAGCAAAATAAAAAAAAAAAAAGAAAGATTACTTGGGAGTCAATAATTAGGGGGAAAAAATTAAATATGTGTAAAAAAAGAGTAGACACAACATAACAATATGTTAGACCAAAAAAAAGTCTTAAAACATTCCAAAAAATTAAAATAATATTAAGTATATCTTCTGCCCATGATGGAATAAAACTAGAAATCAATAAAAATAGAAAATCTGGAAATTATACAAATACATAGAAGTTAAACAATATGCTCCTGCATGACCAGTGGATCAATGAAGAAATTAAAAAGGAAATTGGAATTTTTATTGAAACAAGTGATGATGAAAACACAGCATACTGAAACCTATGGGGTAACGTAAAATCAGTATTAAGAAAGAAGTTTGTAGTTACAAGCACCTACACCAAAAAAGTAGAAAATCTCCAAATAAACAACCTAATGATGCATCTTAAAGGAGAATAAAAGCAAGAGCAAACCAAACTCAAAATTAGAAGAAAAGTAATAACAAAGACCAGAGCAGAAATAAAATAAATGGAAAAAAAATACAAAAATCAATAAAACAAAATGTTAGTTTTTTTGAAAAGCTAAACAAAATTGATAAACCTTCAGTCAGGCTAACAAAAAAAAAAGAGAGAAAACCTAAATAAATAAAATCAGAGATGAAAAACAAGACATTACAACCAATACTGTAGAAATTCAAAGGATCATTAGAGGTTACTACGAGCAACTGTATGTCCATACATTGGAAAATCTAGAAGAAATGGATGATTTCCTAGAAACATGCAACTTACCAACCCTGAACTATGAAGAAATTTAAAATCCAAACAGACCTGTAACAAATTATGAGATCAAAGCCATAATAAAATCTCCTGGCAAAGAAAAGTGTAAAACCCAAGAGTTTCACTGTTGAATTTTAGCAAACATTTAAAGAAGAACTAATACCAATACTACTCAAACTATTTCAAAACATAAAAGAGGAGAAAATACTTCCAAACTCACTCACAAGGCCAGTATTGCCCTGATATCAAAACCAGGAAAAGGCATATCAAAAAATAAATAAATAAAACTACATACCTCAGATTAACATTATTGCATAATTCCTCAATGACATACTAGTAGATCAAATTCAACAACATATTGAAAAGATCATTCATCATGACAAAGTGCGATTTATCCTAGGGATGCAAGGATAGCTCAGTGCATGTAAATCAATGCAATATGTCGTATCTACAGAATGAAGGACAAAAATAATATGATCAATACAATTGATGCTGAAAAAGCATTTGATAAAATTTTTTATTGAGAAATCCTCAAGAAACTAGGTATAGAAGGAACATACCTCGTCATAATAAAAGTCATATATGATAGACCCACAGCTAGCATCACACTGAATGGGGAAAAAACTAATAGCCTTTCCTCTAAGATGGGAAACATAACAAGGATGCTTACTTTCACCACTGTTACTCAACATACTGCTGAGAGTCCTAGCTGGAGCAATCAGACAATAGAAATAAAGACCATCCAAATGAGAAAGGAAGAAGCAAAATCATTCTTCTTTGCAGATGGTACAATCGTTTTGTTTTGTTTTGTTTTGTTTTGTTTTTGAGACAGAGTTTTCCTCTTTTTGCCCAGGCTGGAGTGCAATGGCATGAACTTGGCTCACTGAAACCTCTCCCTCCCAGGTTCAAGCAAGTCTCCTGCCTCAGCCTCCCGAGTAGCTGTAATTACAGGCGTCCACAACCATGCCTGGTTAATTTTTTATCTTTTCAGTAGAGGCGGAGTTTCACCATGTTGGCCAGGCCAGTTGTGAACTCCTGACCTCAGGTGATCCACCTGCCTTGGCTTCCCAAAGTGCTGGGATTAGAGGCGTGGGCCACCATGCCCGGCCAGTACAATCTTATATCTAAAAAATCCTGGACTCTGCCAGAAAACTCATAGAAATGATAAACCAATTCAGTAAAGTTTCAGGATATAAAATCAACGTTTAAAAATCAGTAGTATTTTTAAAGGCCAATAGCAAATAATCTGAAAAAGAAATAAAAATAAATTCAATTTACAATTGCTACTTATTTAATTTTATTTAATTAAATACCTAGGAATTAACTTAATGCAAACTGAACAATCTCTACAATGAAAATTATAAAACACTGATGAAAGAAACTGAAGAAGACACAAACAAATGGAAAGATATTCCATGTGCATGAATTGGAAGAATCGATTCTGTTAAAATGTCCATACTGCCCAAAGCAATCTGCAAGTTTAACGCGATCAAATACCAATGACATTCTTCACATAAATAGAAAAAAAAATTATATTTATATGGAACCACAAAAGACCCAGAATAGCAAAGCTATCTTGGGCAAAAAGAACAATACTGAAAGAATCACATTACTTGACTTAAATTTTACTACAGAGCTACAGTAATCAAAACAGCATGTTACTGGCATAAAAACGGACACATAGACCAATGGAACTGAATAGACAACCCAGGAACAAATCCATACATCTATGGTAAACCCATTTTCAACAAAGGTGTCAATAACACACATTGGGGAGAGGACAATCTCCTCAATAAATGGGGTTGGGAAAACTGGATATTCATATGCAGAGAAATGATACTAGATTTCTATTTCTCACGACATATAAAAATCAAATAAAAATGGATTAAAGACATAAATTTAAGACCTCAAACTACAAAACTACTAAAAGAAACATTGGAGAAACTCTCTAGGATATTGGACTGGGCAAAGATTTCTTGAGTAATATCCCACAAGTACAGGCAAACAAAAATTATCAAAAAGTATCGCGAAAAGTGAAAAATCTTGTGCATAGCAAAGAAAACAATCAACAAAGTGAAGAATCAATTCACAGAATGAAAGAAAATATTTACAAAGCATTCATTGGAAAACTAATTAATAACCAGAATATATAAGGAGTTCAAACAGCTCTGAGGAAAACTAACAATCCAATAAAAAAAAATGGATAAAAGATCTGAAAAGACATTTCCCAAAAGAAGACATAGAAATGGAAAACAGGTATACGAAAAGGTGCTCAACATCATTGATCATGGAAGAAATGCAAATCAAAACTACAATGGGATGTCATCTTACCCTAGTAAAAATGACTTTTATCTGAAAGATAAGCAATAACAAATGCTGGGGAGGATGTGGAGAAAAAGGAACACTTGCACACTCTTTTTGGGAATATAAATTAGTAAAACTACTATGGACATCAGTTTGGAGGTTCCTTAAAAAACTAAAAATAGAACTACCAAATGATGCAGCAATCGCACTGCTACATGTATAACCAAAAGAAAGAAAATTGGTTTATCAAAAAGATATCTGCACTCCCACTATTTACAGTAGCCAAGAAGCAACCTAAGAGTCTGTCAGCAGACTAATGAATACAGAAAATGTAGTTTATCTACATAATTGAGTAATATTTGGCCGTAAATAACAATGAGACCCTATCATTAGGAACAACATAGATGAAACTGGAGGTCATTATGTTCCATGAAATAAGCCATGCACAGAAAGACAAATTTCACATGTTCTCGTTAATTTGTGGGAGCTAAAAATTGAAACAATTGAACTCATAGAAATAGGGAGTAAAATGACAGTTACCAGAGGCTGGAAAGGTAGTTGAGAATGACGAGTGCAGATGGTTAATGGCTACAAAAAATAGAATGAATATGATTTAATATTTGATAGAACAACAGGATGTCTATAGACAACAATAACTTATTGTACACTTTTAAATAACTAAAGCATATAATTGGATTGTTTGTAACCCAAAGAAAGGATAAATGCTTGAGGTGATGGATACCCTATTTACCATGATGTGATTATTATGCGCTGTGTATGCCTGTATCAAATTATCTCATGCACCCCATAAACATATACGCCTACTAAGTACCCACAAGAACTAAAAATATAAAAATATTTTTAAAATGAGCTACGTAATGAATCAGGCATATATACTTGAAAAAAGAGAATTAAAATAATAAGTGAAGTGAAAATAGAGAAACAATTAGATTGGCAAGTTGGTTGTTTCTCTGGTAATGGAGGACAAATTTGTTTTGGACCATTTCCCTCACTGAAAACAAATAGAAAAGATGAACAGGAGCAAATGGTGAATAACTAGCTGTAAATATTGGAGTGCTACCCAAACAACAAACATTTGGGAGGACAAAACCATAAAGGGACAGAAATACATGAGAAGTGAGCCAAGCTTATGATACTGATTTTTCCCCACTAAGCATTTGCCTTTTCCAATCAGTGGCTGACTTTTGACAGAATCACACGACCAACATTAGGATTATTTGGAAAACATTGGAATTTAATTCCCAGCAAGGAGAAGGGACTCTAGAACAATATTTTTTTTTCTGTTTTAGCACTGTGTGGCATTAGCACCATGATAGACAAATTGATTAATCAACTGAGTAGGTAGATGGTAAAAGGCACCCATAAATGTATCAGATCTTGACACATGCTGTAACTTGCACTGCTAATCAGTGAGAAAGGATGTAATAATCAATAAAGGGTCATGGGAAAAATTGTTGCCTCCACATGGATAAACATATAACAATTTTGCATTCTTCCTCCCTCATAAATTTTGCAACGTCAGGCTAATGTAAAATACTTTCTTAATAATGTCACCTTGACCTTTATTGCCATAAACTCTAACTTCCATTAGGTCTCTTCTTAGGTCTTTTAAGGATTATTAGCACATCACATGCAAGAGGGGGAAAATTAGTTACACACAGATTAGGAACGAAACTGTGTAAGGCAAAATTTAAAATATTTTGGAAGACAATATAGAAGTGTATTTTAAGATAGCAGACAATAAACATCTTTAAATGAAATACAAATATGAAAAATGTAAAAAAAAGATAAATTTGAAAACTTTAAAATAAAATATTCTTAATCATAAAGAGAATGTAAAAGGAGTTGAGAGACAAGCCACAAATTAGGAGAAAATGTTTGTAATTGAAGTATCCAGATAATGCAAAAAAAATTATACACTCTTTAGTAGAAAGACAACTCAATAGAACTCATTTATCAAATCTAGGAGCTTTTTGGATGAGTCTTTAGGATTTTGTAGGTATACAATCATATCATCAGCAAACAGTGACAGTTTGACTTCCTCTTTACTGATTTGGATGTGCTTTACTTCTTTCTCTTGTATGATTGCTCTGACTAGGACTTTCTGTACTGTTGAATAGAAATGGTAAAAGTGGGCATCCTTGTCTTGTTCCAGTTCTCAGGGGAATGTCAACTTTTCCCCATTCAGTATGATGTTGGCTGTGGGTATGTCATAGATAACTTTTATTACTTTGAGGTATGTCTCTTCTATGCCAATTGTGTTGGGGATTTTTATCATAAAGGGATGCTGGATTTTGACAAAAGCCTCTTTCTACATCTATTGAGATGATCATATGATTTTTGTGTTTAATTCTTATTATATAATGGATCACATTTATTGACCTGCAGATGTTAAATCAACCCTGGTATGAAATCTGCTTCATCATGATATGTTACCTTTTTGATAAGCTGTTGGATTCAGTTTCCTATTATTAGTATTTTTTGATCATTTTTAAACTATTTTCATCAGGGATATTGGTCTGTAGTTTAATTTTTTTGTTGTCATGTCCTTTCCTGGTTTTGGTATTAGGTTGATACTAGCTTTATAGAATGATTTAGGGAGGATTCTCTTTCTCTAACTTTTGGAATAGTTTCAATGAAATAAAAAGCTGGAATTTATCCATCTCCTCTTGATTTTCTAGCTTGTGCACACAAAGATGTTCATAATGCCCTTCAATTATCTTTTATATTTCTGTGGTATCAGCTATAATATCTCCCGTTTCATTCCCAATTGAGCATATTTGAATCTTCTCTCCTTTCTCTTGGTTAATCTCACTAATGGTCTATCAATTTTGTTTATCCTTTTCAAATAACCAGCTTTTTGTTTCAGATTTTTGTTTATTATTTTCAAATAACCAGCTTTTTTTTCATTTATCTTTTGTATTTTCTTGTTTCAATTTCATTTAGTTCTGCTCTGACTTTTGTAATTTCTTTTCTTCTACTGGGTTTGGGTTTAGTTTGTTCTTGTTTCTCTAGTTCCTTGAGTTGTGACATTTGATCATCTATTTGTGCTCTTTCAGACTTTTTTGTGCAGGCATTTATTGCTATGAACTTTCCTCTTAGCACTGCTTTTGCTGTGTCCTGCAGGTTTTGATATGTTGTGTCACTATTATCACTCATTCCAAAAAATTTCTAAAATTTCCATCGTGATTTCATTTTTAACCCAAAGATCATTCAAAAGCAGATTATTTAATTTCCATGTATTTGCATGGTTTTGAGGGTTCCTTCTGGAGTTGATTACCACTTTTATCCCGCTGTGGTCTGAGAAGATGCTTGATATAATTTTGATGTTCTTAAATTTATTGAGAATTGTTTTGTGGACTGTCACGTGGTCTATCTTGGAGAATGTTCCATGCACTGAAGAGAATAATGTATATTCTGCAGTTGTTGGGTAGAAAGTTCTGTAAATATCTGTTAAGTCCATTTGTTCTAGGGTGTAGTTTAAGTCCATTGTGTCTTTGTAGGCTTTCTGTCTTGATGATCTGCCTACTGCTGTCAGTGGAGTACTGAAGTCCCCTACTATTATTCTGTTGCTGTCTATCTCATTTCTTAGGTCTAGTAGTAATTGTTTTATAAATTTGGAAGCTCCAGTGTTAGGTGCATATGTGTTTAGGATTGTAATATCTTCCTGTTGGACGAATCCCTTTATTATTATGTAATGTCCTTCTTTGTCTATTTTTACTGTTGTCGCTTTAAAGCCTGTTTTGTCTGATATAAGAACATCTACTAGTCAATTTTGGTTTCTGTTTGAGTAGAATATCTTTTTCTACCCCTTTACCTTAAGTTTATGTGAGTCTTTATGTTTTTTTTTTTTTTTTGGTTTTTTTTTTTTTTTGAGACAGAGTCTCACTCTGTCGCACAGGCTGGAGTGCAGTGGAGTGATCTCTCTCACTGCAACATCCGCCTCCCAGATTCAAGTGATTCTCCTGCCTCAGCCTCCTGAGTAGCTGGGATTACAGGCACGTGCCACCATGCCCGGTTAATTTTTCGTATTTTTAGTAGAGACGGGGTTTCACTGTGTTAGCCAAGATGGTCTCGATCTCTTGATCTCGTGATCTGCCCCACTCAGCCTCCCAAAGTACTAGGATTACAGGTGTGAGCCACCATGCCTGGCCAAGTTTATGTGAGTCTTTATGTGTTAGGTGAGCCTCTTGAAGACAGCAGATACTTGGTGGTATTTTGTAATTCTGCCATTCTATATCTTAAAAAAAAACAAAAACAAAAACAAACAAACAAGAAAACTTATTTTAGGTTTGGAAATACATGTGAATGGTTGTTACACAGGTAAACATGTGTCATGGAGGTTTGTTGTACATATTATTTCATCACTCAGGTATTAAGCCCACTACCCAATAGTTAACTTTTCTGCTCCTTTCCCTCCTCTCCCTTCCCCTTCAAATAGACCCCAGTGTCTATTGCTTCTTTCTTTTTGTTCATAAGATCTTATTATTTACCTCCTACTTCTAAATGAGAATGTGCAGTATTTTGTTTTTTTTTTGTTTCTGCACCAGTTTGCTAAGAATAATAGCCTCCAGTTCCATCCACGTTCCCATAAAAGACATAATCTTGTTATTTTTTATGGCTGCGTTGTATTTCTTGGTGTATATGTACCAAATTTGCTTTAACCAGTCTGTCATTGATGGGAATTTAGGTCGATTCCATGTCTTTGCTATCGCGAATAGTGCTTCAATGAACATTTGTGTGTATGTGTCTTTATGGTAGACTGAATTATATGCCTCTGGGTATATACCTAGTAATGGGATTGCTGAATCAAATGGTAGTTCTGCTTTTAGCTTTTTGAGGAATCACTATAGTGCTTTCCACAATGGTTAAAATAATTTACACTCCCACCAGCAGTGTATAAGTGTTCCCTTTTCTCGACAACCTTGCCAGCGTCTGTTACTTATTGATTTTTTTTAATAATGGCCATTCTGACTGCTGTGAGATGGTATCTCATTGTGCTTTTGATTTGCATTTCTCTAATAACCAGTGATAATGAGCTATTTTTCATATGCTCCTCGCCACGTTTTCCTTTGAGAACTGCCTATTCATGTCCTTTGCCCTCTTTTTAATGGTGTTGTGTGTTTTTCTCTTGTAAATTTGTTTAAGTTCTTTATAGATGCTGGATATTAGACCATTGCCAGATGCGTAGTTTGCAAATATTTTCTCCCACTCTGTAGGTTGTCTGTTTACTCTGTTGATAGTTTCTTTTGCTGTGCAGAAGCTCTTAAGTTTAATTAGATCCCACTTGTCAATTTTTGTTTTGTTATGATTGTTTTTGGTGTCTCATAAAATCTTTGCCCATTCGTATGTCCAGGATGGTATTGCCTAGGTTGTCTTCCAGGGTTTTTATAGTTTGAGGTTTCACATTTAATGGGGTTGTGTGTTTTTCTCTTGTAAATGTGTTTAAGTTCCTTATAGATGCTGGATATTAGACCATTTCCAGATGCGTAGTTTGCAAATATTTTCTCCCACTCTGTAGGTTGTCTGTCTACTCTGTTGATGGTTTCTTTTGCTGTGCAGAAGGTCTTAAGTTTAGTTAGATCCCACTTGTCAATTTTTGCTTTTGTCATGATTGTTTTTGGTGTCTTATAAAATCTTTGCCCATTCTTATGTCCAAGATGGTATTGCCTAGGTTGTGTTCCAGGATTTTTATAGTTTGAGGTTTCGAATTTAAGTGTGTCATCCACCTTGAGTTGATTTTTGCATATGGTGTAAGGAAGGGGTCAAACTTCAATCTTCTGCCTATGGCTAGCCATTATATATCTTTTAAGTGGAGCATTTAGGCAATTTACATTCAACATTAGTATTGAGATTTGAGGCACTATTCTATTAAATGAATTCAATAAAGTCTCAGGATAGAAAATAAATTTAAACAAGTCAGTAGCACTGAATACTCCAGTGATACCTAATTTATTTTCCAAGTTTGCAAAACAGACTTAGCAGATAATATATCAAGGTCATATTATTTTCAAATAGTAAATAAAGTTTTAAAGTATCATTAATTATTTATAATTATTAATAATGCCTCCATAGTCACTAATGGAGTGATTTTTGTAAGACAGTATAAAGAACTGAAAACGGCTGCTGAAAACGGCCCTTCTAACCCACACAACTTTCCGGTCTTCCTACAGTCAATTTCATAAAGTGGTAATGACTTAACAATAGTTCGGTTTATAGAATGTTAGTTATTATTGATCTTGTGCTGCAAATTAGTAGCCACAGGTTAATCTATGACTCCAAAGTAAATCAAGCTTTTAATTTCACAGGACCAGCACATATCTAAATTAAGACTGCTATCGTAACCACATTCTAGTTCACAATCACTAAAACAACCCTCATTTTAGAATAGACAATAGAAGTTAGTTTAAAGGAAAAGGGAAGGGTAAGCTTTGATACATTTGTTTGGAGTTTCAGCAGGGAATCTCTTCTTTCTCTTTTTTGTTTGTAGCATCTTGGGACTAAGATCATCTCCGTCTGATTTTGAATGTTCTTAATATGTTGGCTGTAAAAATTCAGAGTGATATATTTTCTTAGAGTATTATGCACCCATATATTAAAGATGAAGTTCTCTCTCAAACATTAATAATTGTAATTTTAAGTAATTTCTGATCATAATCGCCCATGATTTAGCACTTTTTGGTTGTAAAGTGTGAATATAAAACCTGCAGTAGGCTGGGTATGGTGGCTCACGCCTGTAATCCCAGCCCTTTGGGAGGCCAAAGCCAGTGGATCACGAGGTCAGGAGTTCGAGACCAGCCTGAACAACATAGTGAAACCCGGTCTCTACTAAAAAATACATAAATTAGCTGGGCGTGGTGGTGCATGCCTGTAATCTCAGCTACTCAGGAGGCTGAGGCAGGAGAATCGCTTGAAACCGGGAGGCGGAGGCTGCAGTGAGCCAAGATCGTGCCATTGCACTCCCACTCCAGCCTGGGCGACAGAGCAAGATTTTGTCTCAAACAAACAGACAAAAAACATGTAGTATTTGTTGGCTCTTTTTCAGCATTCAGCTTATTTTCCTGAGCCAATTAATTTGTAGATTATAAGAAAAAATAAAGATAAAGTATTTGAAAATTACTGGAAAATTGCTGTTTAACAGTTAAGAGCTAATAATAGAAATCAAAGTCATATTTTGTTGCTAAATCTGTGGGCCTCTCATTCTTCAGTTGCTCTTTTAGTCAATAGAGGTTTTATAAATAACATTCCAAAATATTTAAACATATATGATACAGACTGCTTAAAGTTGGAAATGGTTAGTTATTTGAGAATGAACATGTTTTTCTATTCAAACTAACTAAACTGCAAAAATCTTTTAAAATGTACAGTATTCTTAGAAGTGTTGTACTTTTTAAATGATAAATTTCTTTCAGGAAATAATGAAATCTGCTTCTCTTTCTTGAATAAATTCATCCAGAATTATCAGCCAATTATATTGGCTATTGCATGTGTAAATACAATATTACTGAATTGCATATTATTGTATTATATTGTATTCTAAATTATTCTGTAATATTGTACTGTGTATGCAATACAATATTATTAGCAACTATCAAAAAAACTCAGGAGTTTTGCTGTTGGTGATTGAATTGTATTCGTTTAGGACAAAAAAGAGTTAATAAAAAAATCAACACTATTTTCTTCCTGTGGGATGCTAATTGATATCTCTAAAAAGCAAATATATTTTAAAGAACATTAAATAAAGCACTTAATTTTTAATTTATTTTTCTTGGACACCAAGAAAAATGCGTAAACTTAGTTCAAAGTTTGGGAAAACGAGAAAAAAGTTTGGTCTTTCTTTTCTTCGTTCATTCTGATTTTCAACCAGCTTCCTTGAGCGTTTTGATTTTCATTTCACTTTGTGTGGAAAGACAAAAAATTAATCAGTATTAATATTAGAGCTGATTGGCATTATTTACTTTATACATTCAGAATAAAAATATCAAACAAAAGAAGCAAAAATTTGACTATTGCCAGTACAATATGTGCATATATGGAATATGTATATTACATAATATAAGGAAGATACAGAACCAGTTTTATGAAATGCAGCACTTATAATTTCAAAAATAAGAAAAAGAATATGTGCTATTAGACTTCTCATTGTATTAGTGGCACATTATCATAATCCCCCTAATTATACCAACACTTTATTAAAGTGTTCTTTCATGACCATATATTATATTTTATGATAATAGTATGTCATTTACAGAGGGAGTTAAATTAATGTTTCTAATAACACCTTTAACCTTCTCTGAGTTAGTTCTGCATGCCAAGCAATATAACTATATTTAAATGCTTACATTAATTGGTCATCACACTAACTCTTTTGCAGAGTAATAGATTGGGCAAGCCATTTATATTATTTGTACTGTGTACACTGCAATTACATTTTGAGTATATTTGAAAAGGAATATTAATTCAGATTTAAATTAGCATTTTACACTAATTAATTATAAAATACACAACTACAAATGCCTGGCTCTGACACTGCATCTTTAATTCAACTCTGCATCTTGTATGGGCACACTTTATAGTACTTGTACAGAGTGGGCAGGCTCTGTGGTTGCATAATAGGCAAAGAAATGCATGAGATGTAAAGATTTTTTAAAAAGAAGAAATATCCATAATGTATGAATAATTGTGATATGTTTACTTGGAAATTTGACAATATTTTCTGCTGAAATTATTTTAACAGAGTTTTGGATAAAGACAAAATATTTAAAATTCTTTCATTTCAGTAGATTTAACAAGACATATTTTAACTGCCTGTATAGAGATAAAAGGTTATTAAATTAATAAGCATAAGGCTTTTTGCAATTTGACATAGGGCCTGACACAGACAGGTGATACAACTTCGAATACAAAAAATTAAAGGACATTATTCTATTTTCTTATGAAATTTAGAAAATTGAGGGTGCAAATCTTTGATTAAAAATTTTAAAAATTTACATATGCTCTTAGATAGCTAAGGCTTGTGAAAATGCTATTTTGTGTAAAAGTCCAGTATAAGGAGCACAGCACAATAGAATATTAAATGTGAAATTGTAGTTAGATAACTTTTTCTTGTGTTCCAGTTGAAGTATAATATAAAACAAAAATTGGACCTTTTTTTTTTTTTTTTTTTTTTGAGACAGAGTCTCACACTGTTGCCAGGGCTGGAGTGCAATGGCCTGATCTCGGCTCAAGGCAACCTCCACCTCCTGGGTTCAAGCGATTCTCTTGCCTCAGCCTCCCAAGTAGCTGTGATTACAGGTGCCCACCACCACGCCTGGCTAATTTTTTGTATTTTTAGTAGAGACCAGGTTTCACTATGTTGGCGAGGCTGGTCTTGAACTCCTGACCTCATGATCGGCCCGCCTTGGCCTCCCAAAGGGCTGGAATTACAGGTGTGAGCCACTGCGCCTGGCCAAAAATTGGAGTTTTAGGAAAAATACATTTTATTGTTTTGAGTGATAGAAAGATATATCAGATTTTTAATTAGAATACATTAATAAAAATATGCATTAATGATACTAAATAAGTTAGACAAAAAGATGGTTTCACAATTTTGATAATAAAGTATATCATTAGTGTAAAAATACTGTATTAATATTAAAATGTACCTTTCTTCAATTTTAACATATCTGAATTAAGGATGTACCTTACAATAAATGGTACATCAGGATTAAATCTCTGGAATTTGAAATGTAAGTTACTCTTAAGGTCTGAATATTTGTGTCCTCCAACATTCATATGTTGAAATTCTAACTCCTAAGGTGATAATATTAGGAAGGTGAAACTTGTAGGATTTGATTAGGTCATGAGGGCAGAGCCTTCACAAAGGGGATTAGTGAGTACCCTCAGGAGAGAGGCTAAAGAACACCAGCTCTTTCCACCATGTGAGAAGACATCTTCTCTGACTGAGAAAGAGGGCCTTCACCAGACACTGAATCCCAGTCTCCAGAAACGTGAAAAATAAATTTATGTTGTCTGTAATATACTCAGTTAATGGTATTTGTTATAGTGAACAGACTAAGACAATTACTATGAATAGTAAAATAGTTATATATGTCTCATGTAAATTAAGCGTGAGAACATTACTCACGTTGTGAATCACCTGTGTCTTTCAATGCAGTTTCCTTCTTCTCCCTTAGTACAACAAACATTAACAAAAATCTTACTATGGAGTTGATCATTTTCTCTCTTTGGTTATAGTTTTAATATGTCTTAATATGTATACCCCCAAAACACATAGTTTTTTTTATTGTATGATTTTTAACTTCATAAAATGTTTTCACAATTTCTGTATTTTTCACTTCATAATTTGTTTCTGAAATTCATCTATGTGGCTGCCTATAGCAGTAGTAAAATAATTTTTACTTCTAAATTATACTCCAGCTTATGAGTACACAGCATGTGTTCATTTACTTACCCACAGACACTTGTTTTACTTTTTTTTTTTTTATGGAATCAAAAAACCCTGCTACTGATGTTATCCACATCGCTCCTGATGTGTACATTCAAGATCCTCTCTAGAGCTGTACCTCATTGAAATCTCTGGATAGTAAGTAGATATTCTTTCAATGATTGAAATAGTGATAAATATCTACAAAACAAATTTACAAATGTAGACAGATGTCATTAGGGTATACACTATCTGTAGCTTTTTATCCTTATAAATATTTGGTATTCGCTGATATTTTGTTGCAAGTTTTCATATATTAACAATTTTGAGCACTCTACCCCTCTTTTTAAAAATTTCTAGTGCAACTGTATCTGCTATGTTCCAGTTGCTTCATTCTCTGTGTATTTTGGGTAATATTCTTTAGTCAATTACATGAGGTGCAGATATCTCCTCTCCATGCATGGCTTGTCTTCTGCTTACTTTATGTTATCACCTGATTAAAAGTCTAGTAAGACATTTTAATGTAAAATTCATCAATATTTTCCACTATAGTTTGTACTGTCCAAACATTATAAATTTACATATTATTTAAATATATGTCATATTCCAGTTTTCTTGGTTTGGTGAACCAGGAGTTTGAATATGGGCTAAGGAAACACTTCACATCACTGGACGGAAAATTTACCTATTTGCATTGAAATGTAGCACAGCTATTTTATTTTTTAATGGAGGAATCTTTTTCTGCAAACAATTCCTACAGGGAAACAAAAAAATTAGTTCTGGAGAACAGACATTTCTATGTCTTAAACTTTGATTACCTGTGAAGGAACTAAATATTCTAATAAAAATGTCCTTTGTACCCTTGGGGAGCTGCATAAATGTTTAGAGAAGGCCTAATTCAGGTATTTTCCTGTATCTCACTAAGTCTTTGAATGACTGAGTAAAAAATAACTATTTTATGGGTCTCCTTTGTAAGTGAATTTAAGGATTTTGGGGACTATGTATTTTAAGTAATGATTATGGATTTGAATTTACTGCAGATGTGATTGTTGTTGAACCTTTCATACCTACATGGTTTATCAGAATTATTGAAAAACAATATTCATTTTATTGAAGGTAATACAAGAATAATTCTGACAAAAAAGAATAATGGACAACTAACATTAAAATAGAAATACTTAGGAGCTTAATAGCTTAGTCTACAGATGAACAAATTATAGAAAAGAACTTGAAATAGATAAAGAACTTTTAAAATCATTCAGGTGGTAAATGCTAATTAAGCTATCTAAAGAAAGTAAAAATTTTAAAAAATTGGAATGAAGCTAAAATAAAATACAAGTATGTAAAATTTCAAAGGATTGTAAAAATGTTATTTATAGTGATAACTAAAATATGATAAATATATTTAATACTTTAGAGCTAAAAAATTAAGAATAAATTCAAACATATATCAAAACTAAAAATTTAAATTACAGAAAGAAACTCAGAAATGAAAATCAACATGAACTGGAACTTTCATACACTGCTGGTGAAAATGTAATTCAGGATGTCTCATCTATTTAGACGTGTACTTACCATACAACTCATCAATCCCACTCCTAGATATTTATCCGAGTGAGATGGAAACATATATCTAGATAACTGGACATATGTTTGGTACAAGACTGGTACAAAACTTTGTTTTGGCTTTATTCATAATACTCCTTAACTGGAAAAAAACCCAAATGCCTAAAAATAGGTAAATGGTTAAACAAACGGTGGTTTTATTTAAACAATGTACACATTCCCAGCAACAAACACTGAACAAACCACTGATACAAGCAGCAACATGGATTAATTTTAAAAAATGAATGCTGACCAAAGGAAGCCAGACATAAAACAAGTCTACTGAATAATTATATGCACATTAATCTCTAGAAAAGACAGATAAGTAAGCAGTGACAGAACGTTGGTAAAAAAATGACCGAAGCCATGAATTTGGAAGAGGGTAGAAAATTTGTCACACAAAGGAAAAATGACACTTTTGAGAAAGAAAATGACACTTTTGAGAAAGACGAAAATATTCTATGCCTAAATTCAAGTTGCTCTTATACTCTTGTTGAAAATCCTAACCCACAAGTTTATATCAGTAGGAAGGTGAGGTTTTGGGGAGGTGGCCCAGGTCGTGAGGGCAGACTCCTTATGAATGCAAATAGTGTTCTTATAAAAGAGTCCCCAGAAAGCTTATTCACTCTTGCCGTCATGTGAGGTTGTAGCAAGATGGTGCTTTCTGTGAACTGGGAAGCCAGCCCTCATCAGACAGTGAATCTGCTGGCAACTTGAACTTGGACTTCTGGCTTGGTCTGTTTTGTGTTGTTATTAAGAAACAAAAGGGTGACTACAGTCAGTGATAACTTAATTGTACATTTTAAAATAACTAAAAGAGTATAGTTAGGTTGTTTGTAACACAAAGGATAATGCTTGAGGGGATGGATATGTCGTTCTCCATGATATGGTTATTTTACATTGCAGGCCTGTATCAAAACGTCTCATGTAACCCATAAGTATATACACCTACTATGTACCCATAAAAATTAAAAATAAAAAAATGAAAAAAAATACCTGAGGCTAGGCAATTTATAAAGGAAAGAGTTATATTTAACTCATGGTTCTACAGGCTATACAAGAAGCATGGTGCCAGCATATTCTCAACTTCTAGTGAGGGCTTTTGTCTTACATCAACACATGGTACAAAAGATTAAAGACGAAGCAGGCATACACTGAAAGAGACCAAACCGAAAGTATGTCCTGGGTTTATAAAAACTCTAGAACTAATTCATTCCCATATGAACCAATCCAGTCTTGTGAGAGTGATAACTCATTACCCTGAGAAGGGCACCTAAGTGATTCATTAGCGGTCTGCCTCCACAACCTAAACACCTCCCACCAGGCCCTACCATCCAACACTGTCACATTGAGGATCAAATTTTAACATGAGATTTAGTGGGAATCAACAAAGCATATCCAAATTATAGCAACATGCTGGCCTCTAAAACAGTAAGTAATAAATTTCTGTTGTTTATAAGCTACCCAGTTTATGATATTTGGTTATAGGAACTCAAACAGATTAAGGCAATATTTTTGTGCGAATTTTATTTAAATTATCCCAGAATATTATATGCTACTTTACTGAATCAACATCACACTACTACCATTTTGAAATAATAATGTACCTAGCAATATTTCAGCAAATATTTATTGACCTAATCTACAAAATGACATTGTTTTGGCATCTTCAACAAATAAGTCATTTTAATTTCTGCTATTATAACTTATTTTTTATTATACATGTTTTCCACTCCTACTTTACCATTATATTTATCCATTAGGTCATCAGTTGACCAGGCCTATGTTACTATTCTATTTTATATTCAATATTCAAGCTTCCATTCAATAATGTAAGCTTGGACAACTGATGACTTAGTGGATAAATATAATGGTAAAATGAGAGTGTAAAATATGATTAATAGCAAAATAAGCTATAATAGCAGAAATTAAAATGACTTATTTGTTGATGACAAAGAGATAGCCAATCTCTTAGCCAGTTGCCACAATAACAATACTAGCAATTATCATTGATGATGTACACACTATAAACTAGACACTATGCTAGGCACTTTGCATGTATCATAATAGTAGTAAAATAATGACATGTAATATTATTAATATTAACACAAATACTAGCAAAAATCATATAATAATATAATATGTAATGGTAATGGTAGTTCTAAATACTTTACATATAGTAATACATTTAATTTTTACCATAAGCCTGTATATCAAGCACTATTATTACTGCCCGATTTGTAGATTAGGACACTAAAATAGAGAAGAGCTAACCACCTTGCTCAAAGTCACATAAAAAATAAATGATAGAGCCAGATCCATATCTACTTTCTGCCTTCAGACTGTTCTTAACCATTACACTACAAGCCAGAGTTATTGAGAAGTATTTACAGTATAGCATAGTATTTACACTTCATGTGCAGTTGAGGAATCTATCCTCTGAGAGGTAAAGTAATTTGTACACAAGTCAAAAGTGGTGAGTTAGGACCTGAATCTTTATTTCTCTAACTCAATAACTGTGTTGTTTCTGCTGTGTTACATTATGAGACATATACAATATTGAATCAAATGTTAACCTTGTTGTATTTCAAAATATTAATAAATATTTGCTGAACTCTTGCTATGTACTTAGAACTCTACTAGATGTTGTGAAAAAGACATATGAAGGAAAAAGTAATAAATAAAATAAACTTATTTCAGGAAATCTCCTGAGCAGCAAGCCAAGAAGCAGTAACAGGTTTGAGACAGTAAATAGTATGGGATAATATATTATGAAGTACTAAATAGTGTGGTGCCAACTGTACACACAGGAGAAGAACAGAGGAGAAAGAAATCCATGAGAGACTCAGCAGTCGGGAAAGGCATTATAGGAGGAATCAGGATCTAGGTGGACCCAGAAAAATGGTGTAGATGTTGACAGGTGGATAGGCAAACCAAATCCACCTCAAATGAGGAGGAAATGTCAAGCAATTCAGAATGAGAAAGACAGTTGTCAGAAACAAGGAGGATTCTTATTTATTTAGAGTAGAATTTTAAAATTATTTAAAAAAGAGTAAGAAATCTTGAGTATGTTGCTCAGAGGCAAATAAATGGAAACAAACAAACACTTGAAAGCCAGAAAAGGAATTCAATGTATTTGTTGCAAAAACTAGAAAATTACTAAGATCTTTGTACAGAGAATTTGCATATAGTAATAATCAATAAGTTAAAGTTATTAAATATAACTTTATTTTTTAATATATATATTGATTTAATGTATAATATTTATATTATATGTTATTTAAATATTATATATTGATTTTGTACAAACTCATGGAGCAACTTCTCTGGTCTCTGTTAGCTACTAATTATATAAATTTGAAACAGAATGAGGAAAGACTCAATTAGGCTCTTTTTCTACCAAATCAAAATGTAAGAGCTAGCCGCTATGTTAAAAATGTCTTTAGCTGGACCACTGTTAGATTCAGAGTTTCTCAGGTTTTACAGATGTGCATATGTATTTTATTATCTTCTAATCAATTACTGGGATATGCTCAAACTTAAGAGACTTCATCTAAAAAGACCACAATTTGTTGTTTGTTAAATATTATGTATAACTTTCTCCATTAACCAAACTTTTTCCAGTAGCTCTTTTTATAGAAAAATAACTCATCAGACATAGAATGCTGAAAAATTCGATTTTCCATTGATATTACATATACACTAAGGAATAGTAACAAACTGGTCAAGTTCATTTTTTTTTTTCCTAATGCCATTGCTTTGGTTCCACTGGGAATGTCACTGAAATGATGATTAATTTCTTACCTGGGAACTGAAAATACAGGAAGTTATCAAACTCGAGTCATTTTCATGAAAGTTAGAATCAGATATAAGAAAACCAGCATGGCTTTAAGTACAGTTGGCTTATTTTGGCATATTTGTTTCATTCATCAGAGAAGTCTGCTGAAATAGACATAGTCGCAGGATTTTTTTTTCAGATTGTACAGTTGTCCTATTTCGAAGCCTTAGTTTTTAAAGAAGTGCAGCTGTTTCATAAACGCCTATGTCTAGTCACAAGAGGATGTTGTGATCCTATGGACAGATGAGGTAAACGCCTTTACTATCAAGGAAACAAGTAGTTGCACATGGCCTATAGTTGGTGATGTCTTGTTTGTGCAGGGCATCACAAGAACATGTAGTTGTCTAGGAGGAGGGAAAAGGACGGGCTCTTCTGTGTGAACGACATGTGAAACACCATACCAGTGATGCCTGCTCAGTTCTAACTCTTGAAAACAGTAGTACTTCAAGCTACATATGATAATGCGGGAAGAGTTTCCAAAACGAGAAGGGTTTTTGCACATGACAGCTGGAGGTTATATAGCCAGTGGAGTTAACTAGGGTCATTGTTAAAGGGGGCCAAGGTCACGTCAAGAGGGAAACAAAAGAATGTTAATTTCAAAGAGTGAGCTGTGGACCATAATTTAGTCATATGTCTTGAAAAATCAGACGCAAAGGAGAAATGAAGTGCAAGAATAACATTGAGAAAGTGATTTATAACTATGATAGTAAACGAGGAATATACAGTATACTTTTATTTTTTAAATTTTTAATTATTATGGATACATAATAGTTGTACATATTTGTGAGATATATATAATATTTTGATATAAGCATACAATATGTAATGATCAAATCAGTGTAATAGTGGTATCTATCACCTCAAGCCTTATTATTTCCTTGTGTTAGGAACATTACAACTCTGCTCTTTTAGCTATTTTAAAATATACAATAAATTGTTGTTGACTACAGTGACCCTTTTGTGCCACTAGACACTAGAAGGATAACTTTAACATCATCCAGATGCATATAACTTCTTTCAGTAACCATATTCTCCCGAACAAACTCTGCAATGCTTTATACAAAAGTCTAGACTTATTGCACAGTTTGTTCAGGAGGATGTGGCTAATGAAATAAGTTATTTGCATCTGGATGATATTAAAGTGATCCTATGATTCTAACAGAAGAGTTATAGAAGTCAATTTCGTTGACAGGGCATACAGCTGTCACTGTATAGTAAGAGATGAACAAACACACTTCTTTATGTTAAAGGCAAGTGTATTCAATGGAAAAGCAACTTTTCCTGAGAGGTAAGAGGCACTTTGCCCCAGCCCTATTTAGCAGCATCAGTTGGTTATCAGCAAAGATAACCTCAGAATGGCATGTGTGTTCTTCCTGTGGTGGCCCTGCAAAGGAACTGTTACTGAATACCAAGAAAGTGCTACAATTCAAAGGGACTATTAAACGAAAGTTCTGGTCAATTGAGCTGGCTGTTTGGCTAGGGAAATTATAAAAATGAAGAGCACAAGTTTATGCGTAGTTTAATAAAATAAAGTTAACCAAAAAAAAAAAATAATAGGTTTAACCTTGGTAGGTGTAGAATCTTGCTCTCACTTCAGCAGAGTATACCACTGAGAAGAACAATAACTAGGCACAGGGAAATAACACAAGCATGTAGTTATGACAGACTGATGTTAACTCTGCCTTTGGTAATGCCATGTAGTCTTGTCAAGAGCCGTAGTCATGTCTAGTCTCATTTAACTTATACAATTTAAATTGTACAAAATATTTTTCTTTTATTTATGTAATTATAGATGCTGTAAAATCACATTTTAGACATGAACATTTTATGTCATAAAATACAGTATATATTTTAGGTTCATACATACATTTTATTATTCAAGTCCTTATACTCAAATTATTAAAATTATAATTTTAGGAGGACTGAAGGGGATTTTTGAAGGTAACATTGATAACGTAAATTTTTTTTTTCATCTTTAACTTCAGAAATCAGCCCTTGCACAAGACGCAACTTCAATGTAATGAGAAAAAGAAAAGCCATTTGGCAATTCAGGAAGATACAGAGAGTGGCCGGGTATGAATTCAGGGACTGCCCACTTTCAGTCTTTTTGGGGGACCACATGTGCTGGAGGTTACAATGCTTAAGCTGTTAACCGACCTAAATTATCTCATCAAACTTTTATCATTCACTCATTCAAAATATATAGCTATGTGTGCACACCCTGTGCTAAGCCATTCCAGATATTGGAAGTACAATATTATCCTGCATTCCTGAAAGGCAATGTATATTAAATAAGAAACAAATATCAAACAACAAGAAGTGTTATGATGGGAAATGAAGGATGATATGGCAGCAGGCTGGCCAGAGAAGTTTTTCAGGCGATTAAATCTGAGTCAGGATCTGAATAAAATGAAGAAGTGAGCCGTATATATATCCAGTGAAGAGTATTCTAAGCAGAGGAAACCAGAACTGCGAAGACTGCAAACCTGTGAATAACAGACAGCCTCTGCAGCTGTAGTACCATGAGGGAGGCGCAGAGAGGCAGAAACTGAAATCTCCCAACACCAAAAAATTCAGAGACCAGAACATGAACAATCATGTAGTCATTTTAACTGCTATGGATTGAAATGTGACCTCTTCCCAAACCCTCCCAAAAATATGCTGAAGTACTCCAGAATGTGATCTTGTTTGTAAATAGTGACATTGCAATAGAATTGGTTAAGAAGTGGTCATACCGGAGTAGGACAAACTCCTAACCCATCATGACTGGTGTCCTTATGAGAAGATGAACATGAGAAGACACAGAGCCACACACGGGAGAACCATGCATCAATGGTGGCAGAGCTTGGAATTGTGCAGCTGCAAACCAAGAAAAACAAAATATTACCAGCACACAACCAGAAGCTAGTTACAGGAAAAAAGAAAAGTGGGGGGGGGGGTTCCCCTATAGGTTTCTGAGGGAACGTGGACCTACTGACACATTGACTGCAGATTTCTAGCATCTAGACCAGACCCATGAGACAATAAATTTCGATTATTTTGGGTCACCCAATTTGTGGTATCTTGTTAAAGCAAACTTAGGAAACTAATGGAGCAGCTTTTTTGTTGGTTGGTGTCCTTATGAGAAGGACTTTATTTTTTAGTTTTTTGGTGGACTTTATGTTTTAGTGGACTTTATTTTTTAGCGCAGTTTTAGGTTCACAGGAAAACCGGGTGGGAAGTATGGAGTCCCATATATGTCCTGTCCCCCTGCACCCACAGAATGTCATACTATCAACATCCTGCATCAGAGTGATATATTTGTCACAATCAATTAACATGTGGTGACACATCACTATCACTCCAAGTTCATAGTTTCCAAAGGAGATCACTTTTGGTGTTGTTTATTCAGGGGTTTAAACGAATGTATGATGACATGTACCCACAATTACGGTATCATAAAGAGTTGTTTTACTGCCCTAAAAAGCCTCTGGGCTCCAATTGTTCATCATTCTTTCCTTCCTAACACCTGGAAAACACCTAACTGTTTGCTGTCTCCAAAGTTTTGCCTTTTCCAGAAGTCCATATAGTTGGAATTATACAGTATGTAGCTGCAATGGACTAAACTGTGTCTTGCCGAAATTCAGACATCGAAGCCCTAACCCCCAATATGACTGTATTTGGAAGCAGGTCCTTTAAGTAGGTAATTGGGCTTAAATAGAGTTATAAGTGTGGGGACCTAATTCAGTATGACTGGTGGGCTTATAAGAAGAGAAAGATACACCAGGGATGTGCACACACAGAGAAAAGGGTAAGGACAAAGTGAGAAGGTACCATCTGCCATTCAAGGAGTGGGTGCTCAGGAGTAACTAAACCTGCCAACACCTTGGACTTCCAGCCTCCATAGCTGTGAAATAAACTTGTTGTTTAAGCCACCCAGTTGGTGGTATTTTGTTGTGGCAGCCCTAGCAGACTTCAAATGGAGCATCTCTAATCTGAATATGTGAAATCCAAAATGCTTCAAAATCTGAAACTTTTTGAGAGCTGACACGGCACCACAAGTGGAAACTTCCACACATAAGCACTTAACACAAACTTTGCTTCATGTGCAAAATGATTTAAAGTATTGAATAAAATGACTTTCAGCATATTGGTGTAAGGTGTATATGAAACATAAATAAATATGTTTAGAATTGAGTCCCTTCTCCAAGATAGTTCACTATGTATATGAAAATATTCCCAAATCCAAAAATGTGTGAAATCTAAAATATGTCTGGTTCCAAGCATTTAGATAAGGGATACTCAACCTGTAATGCAATGTCGCCTTTTCAGATTGGATTATTTCACTTAGAAATACATTTAAGGTTTGTCTATGTCTTCTCTTAACTTGAAAACTCATTTCTTTTTAGAACTAAATAATATTCCATTGTTTGGATGTATCACAGTTCATTCATCTATTCACTTATTGAAGGGTATCTTGGTTGCTTCCAGCTTTCAAAAGTTTTATAAATAAAGCTGCTAAAAAACAGTTATGTGCAGGTTTTTTTGTGTGTGGACATAAGTTTCAACTAATTTGCATAAATGTCAAGGAGTGTGATTTCTAGATTGTATGGTGAATATGTTTAAATTTGTAAGAAACTACCAACTGTTTCTGAACATGGATGTACAATTTGTCATTCCCACCAGAAACTAAGATTTCCTGTTTCTCTACATCCTTACCAACGTTTTCTCTTGGCAGCATTTTGAATTTTGCCATTCTTATATAGGTGCAGTAAAATCAATTGTGGTTTTGATTTGCAATTCTGAATTGACATATAATGTTGAACATCCTTTTATATGCTTATTTGCCATCTGTACATCATCTTTGGTAAGGTGTTACCTTTGTCTTTCATGTTGTCTGTGATGAGAATATACTGAAGGGATTTTGGAAACAAAAACATGTCTTATTTCAACCTTAAAGTGTCATTTGAAATAATGTATGACAAAGTCACTTGAGTGGGAAGAAGGAAGAGAGTGTCAAAAGAATCAGTACAGAAATTATTTTTCAACTTGGAAGCTGCTGTTATAATCCAGATGGCTTGTTCTGGGATGGTAAGACTGGAAATGAGTAAAAGTGGTAAGGTTTGATTATAAATATAAATACGTATTCTACACAGAAAGCTGATCACTTCTAACAATTTTGTTTGTATGTATTCATACAAACCATACACACATGCACACACAGACATAAAACAGAATTTGTGATTAGATGAGATGTGTCATGTGAGAGAAAGAAAGCACTGAAAGATAAATGATGGCTAAAATTTTGGTCTAAACAACTGGAAGATTGTTGGTGCTATTTACTGTGTTGCAAAAAAAATGTGTTATGAGCAGGTTTAAGAGTAAAAGTCAACATGATTTATTTGAGATTTGACCCACTTTTTAATTTTTCACCTCCAGTCAGTGTTGCTTGAGAAATATGGGTTAAAGATGTACTTGCTTATCGTAGCTGAGAACTAAAGAGTAACATGTAAACAATTTCTCATATTGGTTTATAATTTTGTATTCATGATATGGTCATAACAAAGCATCATCACCCACAAGAGTATGAATATTGTTGGTGGAATGAATACTTATTCAGAATAAATCTCCTTCACAACATTTCTCAACAATGGTACTTTTGACATTTGAGATCAGATAATTATTGTAGTGGGGTGCTGTCCTATACGCTGTAGGATGTTTAACTGCATCTCTAACCTCTACATTCTACATACCAGAACACCTCATGCCAGTTACAGCAATTAAAATTATCTAGATATTTCCAGATAACTCAGGGCTGAGGACAAACACTTGAGCACAGGAGTTTGAGAGCTGCAGCTCTATGGTAAAATGGAATGATTTAAAAGTTATTCCAAAACTATGATTTTCAATTTGTTTTATAAGAAATTCTAAAGTGCCAAGGAACAACTATGGAAAGGAAAGAAACAGTCTGAGTGGATAGAACTTAAAGAACAATTAAGTATTAATTAATAATATATTAGTCTTCCTGGTAATGTTTTTTTGTTGTTGTTGTTGTTTTGTTTTTGTTTGTTGTTGTTGTTTTTGTGAGACAGGGTCTTCCTCTGTCACTTAGGTTGGAGTGCAGTGGTGTGACCTTGGCTCACTGCAGCCTGGAACTCCTGGGCTCAGGTAATCCTCCCACCTCAGCCTCCCTAGTAGCTGGGCCTATAGGTGCAAGCCACCGCACTGGGCTGTTTTTTGTATCTGTTATTAGAGACGAAGTCTCTATGTGGCCTAGGCTGATCTCCAACTCCCGGGCTCAAATGATCCTCCCGCTGGGTCTCCCAAAGCGTTGCGATTACAGGAATCAGCCACTGCGCCCCATCCCAGCAAGATTTTATTTGAAAAAAGTGTTTCACATTCAGGCATTAAAAATGTAGAAAGTCATGTAAAATCAAGAATCAGACCAACACTTTACCACATATCTGCAATAAACCAGAGTCGAAGGAGAAATACACAAACACAAACTAAACTATAACTATTTGATATTTACCTAATATTACAAAAAACAAAAATTAAGTATTTTTAGTTCCCCATAAGATTTAAGATACCATGCGAATTTGTGTGACAAAAGCCATAATGAAAGAAGAAATGCACATTTTTCTGTTTTAAAGGTTCATGTTAAAAGATAATGGTAGTTAAATAAATTGTGTCATCGTAACAGAAATTACATTTGACTAAAAATTTCCACAAATTGAAAATAGAAACTTAGATAAGAATGTTTTAAATATAATTATTAATGTTTTAATATAATTATGAAAAATATGTTTTAATATAATTATTATTAGAGTAGCCAGAAATTTTAATAATGTTGAAAGATATCTTTAAAAACAGAAAATAATGAAAATAATCAAAGTTAAAATGAAGACTCAGGATTTCAGTAAGCTCAGAAAAAATCCAAAGGATAAGAAGATTTAAAAATAGTCTATATGGCATTTTTGGAGTTAATAAAATGATATATTTTCAAAGTTTTTTTGAGGAATGGATATTATTTTATTATATAAAAATAATTTTGATATTTATTTACAGTTAAAAGGAAAAAGGCAATGATAATAAAAATAAAGTATATTATTTATACATCTTTTTATGTAAAACATACGCTAAATTATTTGAGGTTATGATATTTAATTTATGGGTTCGTGAGAAAGGAAAGGGAACCAGAAATCATCTACGTAGGCTTCATGGCCAAGGCAGCATTGATTTTTTCCCCTTTAGAACACAAACTTAGCTCTTGTTGAACTACTAGGCAGTATTTCAGACAATCTGTTAGTTATTGAAGATTTTTCCAGGTTCATGATTCAGATTTCCCATCTACGATTCTCTCTATATCCATATTCTTCATAGTACATTATTAAACACAACTCAGTTTGCCATATTACAGCTTCTGCTTTTCCGTATTTCTACAGCTTCAAGCATCACGCTTATTTTATTCCATTTCTCACATCTTCAGCCAAACTTGTCATGTATTCAAATCCTTCAGAAGAAATAGATGATGGATTACATTAAGTGACTCTGAGGAACAGCGGAATTGTGCAGCCGGAATACAAATTTTTCAGCGTTTAGGTTGGGTACCCAGCTAGACTGATTCGTTTAGGTTGGGTACCCACCTAGACTGATTCGTTTAGGTTGGGTACCCATCTAGACTGTTTCGTTTAGGTTGGGTACCCACCTAGACTGTTTCGTTTAGGTTGGGTACCCACCTAGACTGACTCAGGTGTGTTTGGATTGCAACTTCGTAAGGGCAAAGTATAGTGCTTCTATATAGAACTCTTCAGAACTGTATGGTAAGATTCAGACTCCTGACAAGAGGGGAGAGAAAGTGAAAGCCACCAAAATTCTATTATCAATAAAAACAAAGTGATCTCTCATAATCAGTTTTATAAGGAAATTCTGTCAAAATTTAAATAAGTGAAAGCTTCTTGAAAAGTTTTAAACATGTTAATCATCTAACCAGAGCGTTAGGTAATCACATTGTTGTATATTGAATATTTTAACAGGTTTATTGCTATATAAATCATATGCCATAATATTCTTCTTTATAAAGTGTACAGTTGTGGCCAGGTGCAGTGGCTCACGCCTGTAATTCCAGCACTTTGGGAGGCCAAGGTGGGAGGATCACTTGAAGCCAGGAGTTCAAGACCAGCCTGGACAACAAAGTGAGACCCTGACTCTAAAAAAAAAAAAAAGAAAAGAAAGAAAAACGGTACAATTTAGTGTTTTTGTTATTTTAAAAAATATATTCACAATGTTGTGCAATCTGCACCATTATTTAATTTTAAAAGATTTTCTTCAACAGAAAGAGAAATCTCTTACATATTAGCAATCACTCCCCATTTTCCACTTTCTCTCATTCCCTGGCAACTACCGATCTACATTTTGTTTCCATGACTTTGCCTATTTTGGAAATACAAATGAAAACATACAAACTGTGGACTTCTGTGACTAGATTCTTTCAGTCATTATAATATTTAAATTACATTCATGTTGTAACATATTTCAGCACTTCATTATATGTATTGTAAATTATATTCCATTAAATGGATATACCATTTTCATTTATCAATTCCTCAGTTGATATACATGTGGGTTCTTTCTACCTTTTTATTATTAATAAATGCTACTAATATTTGTGTTCAAGTTTTTAAGTGGAAGTGTGTTTTCATTACTTTGCAATATATGCCTAGGCATGGAATTGCTTGGTCATATGGTAACTCCATGTTTCTCATTTTGAGGAAAGGCCAAAATGTTTTACAAAGCAGCTGTATCATTTTACAATCCTATTAGAAGTAAATTTGTAAGTGTCCCATTTTCTCCATATCCTTGAAAACATTTATTATTGTTTGTCTTTTTTATTCATCCTATTGAGTGTGAAGCGATATCACATTGTGGTTTTGATTTGCACTCCCCTTATTAATAACTAAAGATTTTGAGCATCATTTCATGTCTTCTTTGTTTGTCTTTGTTTCTCTTCTTTGATAGATGTCTCTTTGGCTCTTTTTGCTGAATTTTGAATTTGGTTATTTTTTATTTTCTTTGTGGAGTTATGTGTATGTATATGTGTACATTTCTAATATGTAGTGAATACAAGTCCCTCACGAGCTAGATGGTTGGCAAACATTTTATCTTATTGTGTGAATTGTCTTTTTCATTTGTTGTTGGTGTCCTTTGAAACACGTTTTTTAAAATGCTGATGAAATTCTATTTCTCTATAATTTTCTTTTATTGTTTGAGCTTTTTATTGCCCAGTGAAAGGTCACTAACATATATTTCATGCTTTCTTCCAAGAATTTTATAGTTTTATTGATTACATTTAAGTTTGTAATCCAATTTGAATTACAGTATTTACATAATGATAAGCATAGGTCCAAATTTATTTTTTGTATGTGAAATTTAATCATTTGTTGAAAATATAGAACAGATTTTGGACACTCTTTAAAATGTTAAATATTACTGACAACTGTATGACATGGAAGAGGCAAATGTAACTTTTTTTTTCAGAAATCATCAAGTAAATTTGTGTTAATATGCTTTCAAACATAGTAAAGATACAGGTAAATTAGAAAAGAAAATGGCAGAATTTTAAGTAAAGTGATAAAATGACTAAGATATGTTGTCTTTGTAAGTATTTGTATTACTAATGTCAAATTTACTATCATTAAATATGTTTTATGAGGAAGGGAACATGAATTATAGTGGTAGTCTTATGTAGTCCTAAAACAATAACTTATAATCAATATTCCATTTTAATATAAACAATGATTATATTTTAGAATGTATAAGGGCAGAGAAAACTTAGTTATTTATATATTCACTCATTGATGTATGTTTCACCTAGCATATGCCAGGCACTGTGAAGTCTCTGGGGATATAACAATGAACAAAATAAACAGAAATCTCTGTGCAGGAAGCAGAAAATTAGTTAAATAAATAACAGATGAAGAATTCGGTGTAGAAATCTGGGGAACAGAGACAGGAAATGCAAAGGTGCTGAGGTGATAGCATTGCTGGCTTGTTTGGAGAACAACATACGGGCCTGTATGGCTAAAATAAAATGAATGAGGGAGAAAGTGAGGTGGTGAGGTCAGAGAGGTAATGGGGAGATCAACTATATTGAACCTTGTTGGTTAAGTAATTACTCTAATGAGAAGTGAAGTCTTTGAAGGTTTTATAGAAGACTTATCATATATTACTTACGTTTTAAAGAGTTATTCTATATATCGTGCTGAAATATTTTTTAAAGTGGGAAATCAAGTTTCATATAAAAATGGAAATACACTATTTCATGCTTTGAATTATAAATGAAAAGGCACCAGTATAAAGCCTCATGTAATATTTTATACAGTAAAGTCAGTTATGAAAAATAAAGCCCCAAAACTAAATGATTATAAATAATATTAATTTCTTAGTTTAAGTTGTAAAAAACAATTGCATTACATTATTTCATAAGTTATTATTTTAAATAACCTAGGTATAACTAGACTTACTAAATCATGATATCTGAGGTAAGGCCTAGATTTAAGCACATGTCTTTAAAAAATGTTCCACCAATGTTTCTGATACACAATATATATTGAGAACTATTACAGCAATTTATACCAAGAATTAGCTAGAGTTATTCACTGATAAAATATCCCATGTAATAGTAATTCCATGCTGGCACCATTTTAGAAAATCACACATAAAATTTTGATATAAATCTTTTGCAAAATTCTTTGCTGAATTCAGAATATTATTATATCTATACCCCACCAGTCTACTGGCTTAATAGCCACAATGATAACGGAAAGACAAGTACTTTGGTATGATTTGCACCACATGAATTCATGTTGGTGCCTACTGATCAACACCATATTTGTTAAATGCTCACAAACCATCTGCTACGTAATCTGTTTTAGAATTTTGCCAAAGACCCGTGTCAAGCATTTTGGCTAACTGACATGTAGTTTTACAATCCCCTTATTTCCCATTTTCCCATTTTAGAAAATTGTAAAAATGTTTATCTTCATTATTTTGGCATTTCCACTATCCTCTGTGGTTTCTTTCATTAACTATTGTCCTGAAAGTATATGTGCAAGAGTCTTCTGTATTTCTGGATGTGTAGTCAATGAACTTTCTTGCAAATATTAGATTATTTTTATATATTGGCTTTTTTCCTACATGCCCATCAGCACTTGAGTATAATTATTTCTTCAAAATATATTTTTCCAATGTTTGCCATTTGATTACAATTCTTTCTGGAGATAACAAAAGCAAATTAGAGAGAAAGAGGGATATGCTTTTGGTCATCAGCTGATACTTAATTATACCTTCATTAAATAGGATCTATTTGCTTGATCTAAGATATTTATTTCAAACTTTTTACCATATTTTTAAAAACACTTCCAGTCATTTACTTTCATTACTTATTTATAATGCCAATTAATATTTTACTCTTTCTAATTTTACGTACACTACGTAAATTAAAATCTCAAATAATGCTAAATTCTGATGGTGATTTTTCAGATAACGACCCCAACAGGATCATAGCCATCAATAAAAATAACAATAATCTTTAGTTAATGGTTCTTAGATGTCAGATGTATATTTAGCCTAATGTTTTGGGGGTACATAGGTCACTACACTGTGGCCATCAAATTTAGCCTGGGTCTTTCCCTTTATGAAATTTTTGTTGTTTGTTGTTTTGATTTTATTTTGTTGTTTTGTTTTTCATCAATGTAGTTTGCTAGAGTTATTTTAGATTCAGAGAAAAACTGAGCAGAAAATACAGAGTTTCCATACACTCCCTCCCCAGTTTCCCTTATTAACATCTTGCATTTGTTAAAAGTAATAAACTGGTACTGAATCGTTATTATTAACTTAAGTTTCTAGTTTGATTAGAGTTTACTCATTGTGTTGTACATTTTATGGGTTTTGAAAAATGTATAATGATATATATCCATCATTATAATATCATACAGAATCATTTCACTGCCCTAAAATCATTTCCTGCACTCTACCTATTCATTCCTCCCTCTCTTGCTTCAAACCCATCGGCAGTTACTTATCTTTTTACTGCTCCCATTGTTTTCCCCTTTTCAGAATATCACATGGTTGGAATTGTACAGTATGTAGCGTTTTAAGATTGGCTTCTTTCAGTTAACAACATGCATTTAAACTTCCTCCATGTCTTCCTGTGGCTAGATGGCTCATTTCTTTTTAGTGCTTAATAATATTCCAAGGAATGGATGTTGCTTCCAAGTTTTGGCAATTACAGATAAAGCTGCTGTAAATATTAATGTGGAAGTTTTCATGTGGATGTAAGTTTTCTACTCATTTTGCTAATTTCCAAGAAGTAAAAGTTGCTGAATTTTATACTGAGTATGTTTAGCTTTGTAAGAAACTGCCAAATTTCCTTTCAAAGTGTCTGTACAATTTCTTGTTTCTACCACCAATGAAAGAAAAAGTTCTCGTTGCTCACCATTCTTGCCAGTATTTGGTGGTGTCAGCATTTTGAATTTTTGGTATTCCAATAGGTGTATATGGCATCTCATTAATGTTTTGATTTGCAATTCTCTGATGACATATTACCTTAGGCATGTTTTCATATACTTATTTGCTATCTTTATATCTTCTTTGGTGAGGTACCTGCTTATATCTTTTACCAATATTCTAATTGGTTTATTATTTTGTTATTAAATTTTATAAGCTCTTAACCTTGGTTATTCTGTGTGGTTTTTTTTTTTTTGCCTTTTCCTATAAACTTTAGAATCGGTTTGCTGATATGCAAAAAAAAAATAGCTTGCTGGGATTTGTATTGGGATTGCATTAAATCTATAGATCAAGTTGTTAAGAACTGACATCTTAACAATATTAACACTCCTTTCCTTGCACATGGACTATTTCTTCATCTATTTAGATCTTTGATTTCTCTCATCAGATTTTTGTCATTTTTCTTATATAGATATTATGCATATTTTACTGGATTATACCTAAATATTTCATTTGTTGGTGCTAACATAAATGGTATCGTGTTTTTAATTTAGAACTACATTTGTTCATTATTAGGGTGTAGGAAACAATTGGCTTTTGTATATTAATCTTATATCTTGTAACCTTTCTATGATCACTTGTTAATCCCAGAAGTATTGTTTGCAAATTTTTAAAGGAGGTTTTCTGCAGAGACAATCATTTCATTTTTGTCTTTGTGAACATTTTTTTGGGTTGTTGCTATTTTCTGGTATGTTCGTTAATACCAGGTCATAATATTATTTATGTCTCCGGTCAATAATCTGTCAAAACATATATTTTGTTTTTGCATGCAAATATATATATATATGTACATATATTTTTAAAATACATATGATGATTTTGATCCTATTTATAGCAAGCAAAAATAATAAATGATGTGCCCTTCTTTTTGGTTTTTCTATTGCATTCTTCTTTGGCACTATCTTAATAGATTGTTCCTAAGACATAAAAGATGAGTCCTTTCCTACAATAGCTTGGGAAGTCTGTATTGATTATATCAGTTCAGAGTCCTCAAGCAAGAATAAAAGCTCAAAATGCTAAGTTGTGTGTTTCCTGTTGTGAATTTGTAATCTGCTCAATAATGTTTTACTCCTGTGTTTTACCTAAAAGAAATTTGGTAGATTTTCTCACTGATGGAGCTGCCTCTCATGAATAGCTTTAATTCAGAATTTCTCAGCAGATACTCTATATTGTATCACAAATAGTTTTATAAGTATATTGACATTTGAGTCACTTGAGCTCTTTTATCTCAAGATGGGAATTTGATAAATAGACTTAAACAATGGTCACCTTTGTTCACATGACCTTGTTTCTTTACCTCATTGTGCCATACAAATATTATGTTCTATGTGAGTCACAACATGAGGAAGGATGAGACTACTGACCCAGGTGTCCATATCCCTGAAAATATTCTTGAAGAAAATTACAATCATTCCTGCATTAGCTACATTTCCTATAGACATAATTTCATACTTTTCTCTTATCTCATGCCACAGACGCCCAGACAATGAGGACTACATATATCTTCTCTATTATGGCTCCTAATATTCTCTTTCATGTTTGCCTTGATTATCCTCAACTTTTATAGGATGACTGTTAGAAATCTACTTCTCTCTTTTGCTGATACACAACTGCCTCTTTTACCAGTTTCAAATATGTCCCCAAAATGATCTCATTTTAGAGATGAGTATTTTTAATATAGTTGTTTCTTTATCTAAAATAAAATACTCCATTAGCATCTCTGATGTCCTGGCACTGCTAGATATGTTAAGACATTGCTTAAAGAAGCAGTGGGATACAGTATGATTTCTCAAGCTGGGTCTTTATTTTTAAAGTTTCACAAGTACTGTAGGAGAACTGATTGTCTGGAGATACTCATTTTAATAAACACACACTCTGTATCACATGACCACCCTGTGACCAAGTGCTAAGAAATGTTTATGTTTATAGTTAAAAAGATACAGGCCGGGCGCGGTGGCTCACGCCTGTAATCCTAGCACTTTGGGAGGCCGAGGAGGGCGGATCACGAGGTCAGGAGATGGAGACCATCCTGGCTAACGTGGTGAAACCCCGTCTCTACTAAAAATACAAAAAAATTATCCGGGCATGGTGGCGGGCACCTGTAGTCGCAGCTACTCAGGAGGCTGAGGCAGTAGAATGGCGTGAACCCAGGAGGCGGAGCTTGCAGTTTGCAGTGAGCAGAGATCGCTCCACTGCACTCCAGCCTGGGGGACAGAGTGAGACTCCGTCTCAAAAAAAAAAAAAAAAAGATACCAGTTGATAAAATGAATGACAGTGTCAACATTTTAATACTTTAATAAACATGATGTCCTAAAGTCATAATGCCCTAATGTCAAAACAGCAACAATCATTTCTTCTGTACTACTCGTGTTGAATTATTTGATCTGCTATTACAATCATGAAATACAAGTTTTAAAAGCAATAATCAACAATCAAAATATATTTTTACAGAGTTAAACTTTATATTTTCAAGCCACTTATTAAATTTAATTTTAATTGATATTAAAAAACATTTTCACATTCATGGTATGTACTTTCTTGTGCAGATGAAAGAAATATTGAGAAAATAACTAAGGTGAACCAAAGAAGTAAATTATCACTCATATTTTAAGATGCCGTCATGACGTTTCTGCTATATTCTCCACTAAAAGAGCACCCTCCAAAGATGAAGAGACAAACACAAACACTATCGTAAACTAAATGAGGATGTAACCCAAAATTATATGCACGAAGAAAAACAGCCAAAGGTGATGAAGATCAGTGATATTCTGTTACCAGGAAGATGTAGCAAAAAACAAAACAAAACAAAACAAAACAAAACAATTCATGTAGCTGCAGATGATTTAGATAAAGCCAGAAGAGCAGCGGTCTCCAAATAGTTGTTCAGCATTAAAAAAATTAATGAGTAAATATATAAAATAAAACACCCCTTACAGGAACAACGGGAACGATGCTCTATCAGCTGCATAAGAGACCATAGCAAAGTAGGAAGGGCTAAAAAAAGGGACACTGGGAGTCTCATTAAAGTAAGACAGGCAAGGCATTAACCCTGGGTGCAAAATTTAAGGGGGTACAAAACATCAGTAGCCAAGAAAAATGATATTTTAATTCAGTGCTTTAAAAATATCAAAATTAATGCAAAAACCCATGATGAACAGAATATCGAATTTTAAGAAAAGAGCAGTAGGCATGACATTTTGCAGGAAGCTCAGTAGGAGGGAAGTGAATTGCCTGTAAGAAGTCTTGCAGTTAATGTTCTGTATTTACTGAGTAAAATTAAAATGGAAATAACCACACACTTCCAAAACCCTTTTTCTTTAGAAGCTATGCCATGAATCAAAGAGGATCCCTACTTGCCGGGGTCACTAACCTGGTTTCTCTCAAGATGCCATCCAGCTGCAAGTAGCTGGTCTTAGACAAATTAGTTTCATTAAAAGATTGTTTATATTATTAATAACAATAGTAACCAGGAAAAGACTTGCATAAATACATTATTAGTAACAAATAAGGAACCCAACACAGAAAAACAAGTAAATATTTTCACAAAACACACATATTGGGACCAAATGCATTGCTATAAATTTAAATGAATAAAATTTACAAAGATGCTCACAGCAGAGATACAAGAGCTCAGTTAAAATACATCAAAATAACAGAAGGAGCAAAGGTGTGATGTGACAAATCTTATAAAATGCAAGAAAAATTAAAAACACCACAAAAATAAAATGAAGCAGCCCAAATAAGATCTAATACTGCTGAAAATGCACTAATGTTATAACATTTATCAAAACAAAATGAACATTACTGAAGAGTATTAAAAATGGAGGAAAAAATAGACTTAAAGAAAGTAGAAACTGATGCTATAGAACACGTGTAATTTCCCATGGAACAAAACAGGACAAATTTAACATGCCCAATAAAATATAAAATATAAAAATAAAACAGAGATTTTAACTTGTCAGGCAGTATGAGAAAGGAAGAAATAACACCAGTCCAATAGAAAACAAAAATAGAAATAAAGAAAGAGTAAAGAATGGTATGAGAAACAGAAAACAAAATAAAATGACAGAAATGAATTTAAATACATTAATAATTCAATTAATGTAAGTAGATTAACTTTACTAGTAGAAAGATGAGTATTTTTCTATTGAACTTAAGTACATGCAAGTTCCACAAAAAGTTAATGGTCTCATCCCCACAGGAAAATTATAAAATTAGTGGGAAGATCTATCAAGAAAAGCTAAGTAAACAAAGAAAAATATGCAAAGCTCTTCTAATATTATATATAATAATTGCAAAGAAAATATATTATTAGGAAATAAAAGGGAATTACAACAAAAAGAAAAGTATCATCAGAAGGATGAAATCATTCAAAACCACTGTAATATCAAAGAACAATTTTCATGCCAGAACATATTGTCTACCCAGAATGCACAGATTTAACAAAAAAAAAATAAAATAACTATAATTGTAAACTAAGAATAAGAAGCAAAAAATCAAATAAATTAACCCAAGCAAAGTCTAATTTTTGAGACTAATAAAAATGCACAACTGGAAAAAGAGAGTAAAACATAAGAAAAGAGACAGAAAACCACACATAAAAAAGAAACAAAATATTTGGAATGAAAAAAGGGATCCAAATACACGCATAATAGAGATTTTAAATATGAAAGTGCCATGAACAACTTATTGCCAACACTTTCCAAAATTCATATAACATAAATAATTGAGTAGTTAAGTATAAATTTTCAAAAATTTACCTGATAATAGTAGAAAACCTTACTAGACTCCTAATTATTAATGTATTTAGTAACAAGGAGTCTACCTACAGACCATTAGTAACCTGTATAACATACACACAAATACCAGGATAAACATTTTTGCTATTTTATATGTTGCTTTTTATTTGTTCTTATCAATTTTTAATGAATATATCAAGAAGAATATAAGAGAATACATAAAGCATTTTTTAATATATGTGGCCACCATATCCATATTTAAGCCATCTATAATAAGCTGTCGTACTGGAGAAGATTGTCAATACTTTAGGGGAGGGGTAGTAAAATTGCTTCACAGCACTGTTAGATTCATTTGTGTTGCTGGTCTCTGAGTACAGTTGAATGTATGTTTTGTTTGTTTGTTTTGAGACATAACCTTGCTCTGTCGCCCAGGCTGGAGTACAGTGTCGCGATGTCGGCTCACCACAACCTCCATCTCCCGGGTTCAAGCAATTTTCTGCCTCAGCGTCCCGAGTAGCTGAGATTACAGGCGTGCGCCACCACACCTGGCTAATTTTTGTATTTTTAGTAGAGACGGGGTTTCACCATGTTGGCCAGGCTGGTCTCGATCTCCTGACCTCGTTATCCACCCACCTCAGCCTCCCAAACTGCTGGGATTACAGGCGTGAGCCACCGCGCCCGACCAGCCTGAATGCATGTTTAAATTCTTACACACTTTGTTAATATTTAATCTAAAGATATTTCAATTTATAAACTATAAATGAGACAAATTTTACATTTTTATTTTAATTAATGATTTAGATAATAAATGCATGCATATATTGTGTTAAGTATTCCTTGGAGATAGCAAACTATAATGTATACATTTAGTATTTGAAATAAAATTTTATCCAGCTCTTTCCTAAGTATACGAGCAAAATTTTGCACATTGAGTTAAAAGTATATATATGTACGTCTCAATCATTTTCTGACCAGTGAGTATTGCATCAACAAAGTTCAGCTAAGTAATTTTTTTGCCCTCAATGCAGAAAGTAAAAGAAATTATATAAGTAGGAAATCATGGCATGTAGTAAGAAGGGTGAAGCCATGACAGCAGCTTTACCTCTCACGTGCTTACACCATGGGCTCCATAGCTTTACACCTATTTACTCAGATACGAGACATGAATTGACGCTCCAACTGTTAGTAGAAAATGCATATTCTGAAATGTGCCACGGTAATGTAGTTGTACATGTATTGCATTGAGACTGTTTATAACACTTTTATTCCTCCAAGATAATGCTGAAAAAAATCATTAATAATTTAGAAACATCGAAAATTTTCCAAAACAAGTTCAATTATTCTCAGAATGTCTGTTATGAAGTTGCTGTTTTAGTAAGGGCAGAAAGAAACGTCCATAAGAATGGCATATGATTCTTGTCCCCTTAGGTCTCCCATAGAAAACAACAAGTATTCTGGATTCTGAAACCTTCAAATTTTTATGTGCAAGTTGCATTTTTAATACTGTACATTATCAAGTTTATGTATTTATTTTTCAAAAAGAAGAAATAATACTTAATAAGCCCTATCTTCTGCCTATTTCTAAGACACATATCCTGAACTATGGTTGTGAAAATCCTGAGTGGCTTGATTCTATTAATTTTAAAAAATGAAGAAGGCTTTGAATGCTGAGTATAGATTTCTGGCTTTAAAATGTAGAGTAGTGATGCTGATATTTGCTTTTTTTTCTCCGAAATCAAATGAAGACATAGATGTGAAAAAGTTTTGAAATAGAATTAGCATTTCTGATAAAAATCAAAGCTACCCATACTATACCCCTCAATGAGCCTCTGAAGTTTACCGATAACAAACCTAGGTGGATGAAGTACACCCAAGGGGACACTGACTTCAAATATCTGGTAAAAGTGACAGATCACTAAGTCTCTGAAGTAGGTGTCATGGCTTGAGGGAAAACAGTAAATGGCCACTTGTTTCAAACAAGAATAGTATGTAGAGCTTACCCTGGAAGCCTCTCTAAGCCCTGTTTGACACAATGAAGAAAAGGAGGAAATATGAAGTCTGTAAAAAGCCACCTATCAGGTGATGGGATGATAAATGATACCACAACCCTCTGCAACAAACAGACAAACAAATAAAACACACAAGGGATCATAGAATGTCATGAAGCTATGAACTCATTCATTTATTTACAAATATTTTCTGAACATCATTATGTGTCTGGTACTGATGCTTGACAATTCAAGCTCCATAAAGGAAAATCATATGATATCCTTGTGCAAATTTCTACATCATATGAGACTCCATTGTATCTCAAGAAGGTTTTCTGTTAGCTTTTCTCTTTTGCGATCTGTCATCCACAAAGTACTTCTGCAAACAGCTGGTCTAGGAAGAACTACTGCTTCCTTCAAAGTTAAAATATAATGAAAAGGAATCTGTCTATTTACGTGATGAAGAAAAGAATTTTAAAAGGAATATGAAAAATAAACTAGTAAAGAGAGAGAACCAGATAAATAAGAAATTTGCCGAAGAAGAGATTAAAATTGTAATCAACAGCTTCCTATAGATTCAAACAACTCACTCAAGAGTGTTTTTGTCTCAAGAACTCACAGTTGAATTATAATAACTCAAACTAGAAGTGTTAAATGTTAAAATATTAAGAATTGTGAAGCAAAAAAATTAAAAAGGAAACAATCACAGAATTAATCACTACATTTAAAATATCTGATAGGAAGCATAGAAAAGTGTTCAATCGATTAGGCATAAGTGACAGCTTTGTAAAGAAGAAAGAAAAACCACTGTTTTCATAATTGGAAGGTCAAAGGAAGATAACAGAATAAATAAAAAAGCAATATATTTAAACATTAAATTTGAGTTAAGTTCTTTTAAGGTCAGAGTAACTTAAGTAACTTGTGTCACACTAAGTCTTCTGCAGATAACAATGCTAAATCTGAACAAATATAAAAGTAATCATTTGAAAGCATTGAAGAGCAACCAGCGATGGCAGAAAATGGAAGCAAATAAACCCTTGAAAGAAGGTAATCACACTGGGTGAGGTTACATGCATTATTTTTTTCTGGACACTCCTTAATCCATACAGTAACATGGCTCAAGTGGAAATGCTCAACTACATGACAAGTCTGAAGACAAAGTTTGGAACTTGTGCATTTTCATCATATCCTTTTTAACCCATAAACTTTACAGACATGAGTATAATTTTACAGAATCCAGAATGAGAAAAATAAACAAAAAAAAATATGATGGCAGGCTAACATGATGGGCATAGACTTCAACCTTTGCCTGTTTCAAGAGGTATATAATTTAGAATTCAAATGCAGCCAAATTAGAGGGGTTAATACATACCTACGAACATCTGTTGAGACCCCAGAGGGCCATGCCTTAGAACTAGAGACCACATGTGAAGACTCAGTCTTAGGGATAAGTGCAAAATCAAAACAAGCCTGTCCTAACATAACATGCATTACTTGACATATATATTTCTTTTGAATCTAGCTCATATTTTTCTATTTTTGGCATATCTAGTAACTTTGTATATGAAACACAATAGATTATACATCCTACAAATTGTGTTACTTTATTTTCCTCCAAAGGATTGCAAATTTTGTTTTAAGCGGTGCACAATTTACTGTCAAGTGACTTGAAAATACAGAATATTACTTTTATACTTTGTTAGAGCAGGTTTTCTTGCCTCTGCATTCTTATAAAAAGTGTGCTGTCATTATAATTATTTATTTGTACTGTTGTATTACTTTTCTCTATCTTTCAATTTTTTATTTTTAGTTCGATTTCTATGTGTCTACATTTGTTTTTCTTTGAATTGCTATTTTGTGTCTTTCTCTGTTTCTTATATGTTTAAATAAATGTCTTTTAACAAATGGTAAAAGCTTTTGGTTATTATTTTTTAAAATATACTTTATTTTTCATTCTCTACCTACTCTTCTTCTGGGACTCCAGTTGCCCATATATCCACTCTTTTAATAATATCCCATTGTTCCCTCATGTGGTGCCCATTTATTTTTTTTTTATTCTTCAGATTGGATATTTTTAATTCATCTGTTACCTGACTCTTTTTCTCTGCCATCTCCATTTCATTATTATTACCAATCACTATATTTTCCAGATATTGTGCTTTTCATTTCCAACATTTCCATTTAAAAATATATTTTATCTTTCTCTAATGACATTGGCTATTTTTTCATTAATTTTGAACATAAACGAAATTAATATACAGGTAAGCTTAAAAGGATCTTATATTTATTTGACTATAATTTGATAAGTTATACTCCAGCACAGCTTATTCAAATATTGGCAGTGAGTGGAGATTAGGTGCACATGTTCATAAAGCTAGTCATTCATTTGGTTTATAACACTTAGCTAATAAAATAATACCATAGTAGTTTTAACAGTGATACAATTGTTACCAGTGGAGGCTCTTGACTACAAATCATCCAGGTTCTTGGTATGTTGAACAAAGAATTGGACAAACACACAAACAAAGCAATGAAAGAACAAAGCAATAAAAGCACAGATTTATTGAAGTGAAAGTACTCTCCACAAAGTGGGAGCAAGTTCAAGCAGGCAGCTCAAGAGCCAAGACTGTAATGTTCCCGGGATTTTTATTAAGCTAGAAGAATTTGATAACACCCCTAGGTACCCTTTAGAGGTTTCCAATTGGTTACACCCTATGCAAATTAAGGGTTGGCCCATGGCCAATCAGAGGCTAAAGTGGGAACTGGGTCCACAGCCAATCAGAGGCTGATGTGGAGTTACACCCTATGCAAATGAACACGCAGCTGGCAAGCAATTGGAGGCTGAAATGAAGGAACCCTGTCTTCAGATCCTATTCTCCTGCCTCACAATTATAAGTTGATTTTAGTGTTAGTTATATACCTTTTTAAAAATGGTCATAAAAAGCACAGATTAAAAATGGAGGGGAACACTGGTAAGTTATAATGATAATTCTGTAAAATGGCATTGTATTAGTCTGTTCTCATGCTGCTAATAAAGACATACCCGAGACTGGGTAATTTATAAAGGAAAAAAAATCTAATAGGCTCACAGTTCCACATGGCTGGGGAGACCTCACAATCATGGTGGAAAGCAAAGGAGGAGCAAAGTCATGTTTTACATGGCAGCATATCACCAGAACAGTTTGGGGAAACTGCCCCCATGATTCAATTACCTTCCACCGAGTCCCTCCCATGACACATGGTAATTATGGGAGCTACAATTCAAGATGAGATTTGGGTGGAGACACAGCCACACCATATCATGCATTAAGTTGATTTCCTCCAAATTTATAAGCTACATGAATAAGATCAGTATTTTTATACCCCTTAAGTTCTTCCATAGCTAAAACTAGACAAAACAGATAATAATGGATGAATTCAATTTGATATTTAGGAATAAAACTGGCCACATCCAGTTGATACATTTAAAACATATTAAACCACAATACTTTTGTCATATTTAATTAAATAATTAGGTTTTATATGTTGAATAAGAGCTAAATGGTCTTTATATAGTAAATGCAGTATCATATTTCATTAGCATCTCCTCATGAAATGATATTTCACTGTAACCTGTTACAAGTAACTGTTCTATTTTAAATCACCTTTATTTGTCTGAAGATGTAATATAATATTATATTTAAAAGTTCAAATTGAGTTTTTCACATACTATAAGTTTCATTTATTCTTTACTTCTGCCGATAAGTAAATAAATAAATTTCTACCATGTGCTGGGCACTATTTCAGGTGTTGGGGATATAGTGTTTTTCTTCTGGGTTTTTTGGAATAGTGTTTGAGATAAGATTTGAGTTACAGATACTTTATTTGGTCATGATTATAGGAAACAGGAGTGAGTAGGGAGAGTGAGAGGAGGAAAAAAATTGACATGGGGTAGATTATTAGTGTTACATCTGAGAAGCATCTAATATGATTTTGGCATTTGACAGACAGAGGTTGAGTCATATATCTACTGGCTTCAGTTCCTTGTCAGTTGAAGGTTAACTCCACTGGTGTAAATTTCCTTGCATTTCCCAGAAAGAAAAAAAAAAAGCACAATGACATATTTTCCACACGTAAGCTGTAAACCTGAATATGGCTTTCAAGTAACAGTTCTATGGAGCTGCAGCTGAGAAGGGTCCAGGGAAGAAGATAGTGAGCAGAAAAAATTTCTACCTAACAGGTTACATAATGACTTTTTTAAAAAAATTTAATAATTTCTTAAGTCTAAAATAAGCAATGCTTCAAAAAACAACATTTTCTATACCGTAGAAAAAATGTCCTCGGTACCTTGAATTTTACTTTAATACACATATGTATGTGTATGTCACCTGTGTCTTTTGTGAATGTAAATTTTAGAATCTCCTGGATTACGTTACAAGGGAAGAAAGCAAAACAAAAATGTAATTAGGTTCTATCAGTTGAACCTATGACACTATTTTCTGATAATGTCCCTGCAAACACATCCTAAAACCTATAATGATTTTGCTGAGTGGAAAACTAAATTTTCTTTATGTATTAAATGCAGTGGAGTATTTTATTAACATCTCCTCATGGAATGATATTTCACTGTAACCTGTTACATCCTATACTTTTTATAGAAATTTACTTGAAAATGTATGTTTTTAAAGGAGAAGGTAGGTGATCAGGTGAATCTAAGCACCATTAGAATACTTGAAAATGTCAAGCAGGATATTGGATTTATCATATGAAAAAGGATGGTGCTTTAGGCATTTATTTATACATTTGAAATTGTGGCCTCAGAAACCTAGAAAATTTAGGCACATATGAATTATGTCCATCAAAATAGGCTATTACAATGTCATTCTTGTATCTCTACCAACACAGTTTCTTGGCTAGCCTTTAGGGTAATTCTACATACAAAACAATCTGTCATGGAAAAACTCATTCAGTTTACTGGTGATAATTTTGTTTCCTTTAGCACATATATCATATATTTATTCTTGAGATTACTACAAATAATAAACAAAAGCAAGACAAAAGTGATAGACAGGTTTATATACAGATTATATGGAGCTCCTCCCCAATAGACAGATAATGTCAGTTCTACACAAGGCATAGAACTTTGAGCAAAAACATTAGCTATTTAAGTGTGCATTGCTTTGTTTGAAGCAAATTATTTTGTCCCATGAAGTAAAATTTAATATTTTATAAAATAAATAAATGATAATAATAATTATAGTAAATGTTTTGCTGAATGCTTACTATATGCTAAGTACTCACCTATATATTTTCATGTACTATCTTAGCCACCTGAAATGTTAATATTTATCCTTATTAACATATTTACTATTTGAATTTAGAATAATATTAATACATGTGTCTTTACTGTTAGCAAGACTTCTAGTTATTGGATATAAGTTCTGTCACCATTTGATATATATTTTCCTTTCACAGGTAAGACAATTATAAAATGTTCTTTGTATTAAAATTACTGGAAAACTATGCCAAATGAAAATTGTGCATTAAGGAAGGATATTAGGAAATATATTTGTGTAATCATTCAAATTAGAATAACAACTTTTTACCTAGTTGCAATCATTGTCAACTGAACAAATATTTTTGAGCATCTTATAAATGTAGACAACAGGTTTTTTAAATATAATTTTCTTGTTTGAGGGAGCTGGGGCTGTAGGGCATGAAGAAACACAATTATCTTGGAGATATCATAGGTATTTTATCCTTTAAAATATAGTTGTATATTACAAATCCAGGGAAAGATTTTTTCATCAGAATAAATTACCTCCTTTTATTACATATTCCCTTTTGTCTCCCATATTAAACACATTTCAGCCTGAAACCAAACAGAAATTTCATAAATTCTGTACTAATAGACTCAAAATAAATTTTATCTAATGTAATGTTTCTATATGAGAAAATAAGCTGTTAACTGTAAATCTGGAGAAAAATATTTAAAATGTACTTTAACTAATTAATTTATTTAAAAGTCTATTTTTATTTCTTGACTAATCATTATTAAAAACAATATATAAGGCAAACATAATAAAATTAATAGAAATAATATGAAATAAGGCCAGGCATGGTGGCTTATGCCTGTAATGCCAGCACTTTGGGAGGCTGAGACAGGTGGATCACTTCAGGCCAGGAGTTCAAGACCAGCTGGTCAACATGGCGAAACCCAGTCTCTACTAAAAATACAAAAATTAGCTGGGTGTGGTGCAGGTGCCTCTAGTCCCAGCTACTTGGGAGGCTGACACATGAGAATTCTTTGAACCTGGGAGGCAGAGGTTGCAGTGAGCTGAGATCACCACAGTGCACTCCAGCCTGGGCAACAAAGTGAGACCCCGTTTCAAGGAAAAATAAATAAATAATAAATAAATAAATAAATAAATAAATAATACTAAATAATTAAATAAATTTAGTTGTAAATTATACCTCTCATAGCATGTTTAATTGCCTTGGAGCAACCTTTTTATATGTAGTAAATAATATTTGCTAAATCAATAAGGAACAATTTTATTTTATTAAAATAATCCATATAAATATTTCACCTAACATCAATATATTAATAGAGTGGCAAGGTAAAAACTGTACAGAAGTATTTGCATAAATTAAACTGTTTTCTTCTTATCTCCTTCATTTCTCATTATAAGGGAAACGTGAAATGTAGCAGAAACAAATTGGAATACATTTATGAAAGTAGAGAGTTAATGTTAACTTCCCAGATGTAGTCTGAATATTCATGGGTGGACAGACCGTCGATTTCCAACCTCCCATTTGCTTTAAATGCCATTTTTATGTTGACAACACTTATATCTAGGACCGGTACTCCAAACACCAGACTCATATATTCAATTGCCACGAGTCTCTGGTTGGATGCCTTGCTGGTAAAGTAAACTGACCATCTGTTTCCCTTCTTCCTCCTGCCTACAATGTGTTTCTATTCCAGCCAACATTGTTTCTCATCTGCTTTCTTCATCACCCTCTACAATCAATCCACTGGGGTTTTTTCTGATGTTCAAAATGTTTTGAATCTACCCAATTATTGATTTTTCTTGAGCTTTTCTTGTGTCCAATTTGTTGTCTAATCATCTCCAGAAATTGCTCAGAGTGACATTTTAAATATTGAATGTTATATTATCATACTGCTTAAAATCTTCTAATAGGCATCAGTGGTAATTGGAATTTACCATGGTTTACAGATAAATAGGATGTGGTCCTGCATGCTTAATATTCTACCAGTCATCCTCTTGCTTAGTAGATTGTGTACAAGCTCTTTTCAAAGTTCATTCACATGGAGAAAGAGGTCCAGAAAAAAATAAAAACAAAAACAAAAAACTGTCGGCACTATCTTATTATCAGGGTGATGGCATAATATATACACCAAACCCTCAAGTCATCAGTTTACCTATATAACAAACCTGCACATGTGCCCCTGAGCCTAAAATAAAAATTAAAATATTTTTTAGAACATCTATTATCTTAGCAAAAAAAAAAAAAGGTGCCATTAAAACCAACCTCATACCAACATCAAGCCTTTTTCACACGCCTCAATCGTGAAAGCACTTGTACACTGTGATATGGTTGGATAATTAAAGCTAGTTACCTTATAGATTGAGAAAATGGGGTTTTTAAATGAAAACAAACTTTATAAAAAGTTGTGTTATAAAATTATGCAAACGTTATAATACTTATCTAACTTTACTTATCATAGGACAACTTTTGTACATTTTCTGTAATATTCCCAGAAATCCAAAAATGGCTTTATATTTTTTAAACATATGAAGTCTTATTTTTTACCAAATCATTTGTAATATTTATTTAAAATAATTGTGATTTTAAACTATGTGAGATGGAATTTTGCTAATATCTCTATTTAACTCTTTTTATTCAGAAAATAACATGTATTTGGATTTAAAAAGCATGATTATTCACAGTAGTAATAACAGTATTTTTGTATTATTAGTTTAAGAGACACAATTTACTTAATCTATTATTTCTGATAGCCATAACTTTGATGGGCATGTCTGACTATGTATTATGTAGAATCAATGCCACTTAGTGAATTAGTCTTCTTTTCCTTCTTCTTAAATACATATTCCTCTAATAACAAATAAGTGAAGAGAATGGTGATTAAATGCTTATCCGAGTCACCTGAAATCATCACTCTCTCCCATCATCTCTCAATAGGTGAATTTAATGCACTTAGGGCATGAATGCTATGTTATCATCATCCTTAATGTATTCTGAATATCTACTAAAGGGCAAGACTCTTTATGGCTGCCTGCTTTAAGGCACTTTCCCATCATGCTTAAATGTAATCCCCTGGAGTGATTATGTGTGAATAATTCAGAAAATTGGACCATGCCTGGGGTTTAAAGCCACACATTGAAATCCAATATGAGCTTCATAGTATAGGAGTCAATTGTACAGATCTGCTTTAGTGATAACTCCTGAAAAGCAAAGATATGGGGAAGAGTTCACATTTCTTGCTCATATTTTCAGTGCCAGGCAAATAGAAATCCATTCTAGAAACTTAAAAATCCTACTTGGATCATACATCCAGACATTCATCAGAAAGAATTAAACTTGAAACAACATATAAGCATATATAGGGATAAATATGTCACTGACACCACGTAAACTAGCAAGCTGATATGTGTACTTAGGTAATTGTATATACCTATGTAGGTACAGATGTATAAATCTGGGCATATGTATACATATTTATCAAATTATTCTTAATGTTTGATATTTTATTGATATAACATGTTATACTAAAATGAAATATCAGGCCGGGCACGGTGGCTCACGCCTGTAATCCCAGCACTTTGGGAGGCCGAGGCGGGTGGATCACAAGATCAGGAGTTCGAGACCATCCTAGCCAATATGGTGAAACCCTGTCTCTACTAAAAAAATACAAAAGAAAATTAGCCGGGCGTGGTGGCGCACGCCAGCTACTTGGAAGGCTGAGGCAAGAGAATCGCTTGAACCCAGGAGGCGGAGGTGGCAGTGAGCGGAGATGGTGCCACTCTATTCCAGCCTGGGCTACAGAGTGAGACTCAGTCTCCAAAAAATAGAAAAAAAGAAAAAAAATCAATATCTAAGGAAATGGTTTTTAAAATATATTTATTAATACAAATGGAATGTGACATATTTATATTCTTCCCTCCTCCTAGCAGCCTTCCTCTAAAAATGTTTCCCCAAGTTTTAAAATGTCAATTTGCAAAAAAGAGCTCATGATTGTTCTTCTTAATATTACAACTGTGCACAATGACCCATCTAATCACAAAACCAGGCTGATTATGGATCAATTCAGATTGTGTCCAGTTCACTAAATTTGAACTAGGAAAGTTTTTCAGTCAGAATTTGTGAGCTTGCAATTACTACCTAGTTTTAGGAAAGGCAATCCACCTTGGGTCCTTATTGTTAATTAAGTTTTATTGGAACACAGTGTCCCTTGTTCATTTATATATTGTGTATGGCTGCTTTTTTGCTGCAACAGCAAAGTTAAGTATTGCAAAGAAGCCTTACCATCTGATGCCTTATGAATAAAAGTTTGCTGACCTCTAGTTTAGGTTAATATATTCATATATACAAGAATTCATATAATGTCTAATTACTATATTAATATATTGAGTATTTGCCTATTTGTGTTTCTTATTTGTATCCCATGCATATCATTAGATGTTTTAATTATTTGCCTGATGTAACTTTAATTATCTGCATGCAACTCGTCAGATTTTATATTTATACCTTGTTTCAAAATAAATGTAAGCTATTTTAAATTTTAGTTCTTAACAACTCTAAAGTGCTATATAGTCCTAACAATATATAGAATATAAAGAATAAAATTATTCTTTGATATTAAATTCAATTAATAGACATAATGATTAGAAATAAAAAGGGGGTTTTAATTTAGTGACAGTTTAAATGAAATAACCATTCAAAGAAGATATACTAGAAACTATACCAAGTGTAAAGTATCTTAAGGGATGATTCAAAACTCTCCCAATTAGCTTTAGCAACATTCTCAGTGCAGTGAAGAATCAAGAGATCCATAAGCATTGAGAAGTTAGAAGAGAGGACTATGCATTATTAGTCACATATGAAATATGTTAATTATATGGATCTTGTGTTTCAGAGAAAAGAGGAGATACAGTCACATTCGCTACTGCATAAATAGCTACTGCTTTTCTCTAATTCTTGGGTAAAGTATCCTGTCAGAGGAAACAAACAATTCATAGCCTACTAACTTCACAGTCACGGATAAGTAAGTAAAGAGAATGGGGCAGACATTAGTCATAAACTGACCCTGAAGCAAATAAATTTGATGCTGACTAAATAACCATCAGGAAATTAGGTTTTCTTCTGTTACTTTAAGTAGAAGCAAATACTTCATGAAATATTTGATGAGTAAAAACATTGAAAAATCATGAAAAAAAGATGTGTAAAAAATAGATATATCCTAATTTCTTATATAATCCAGCTGTCAGAAAATAGATATACATCAATTCCAAATTGATGTATGAATTAGCTGTTAAGGAATTTAAGCATATTTTCGGCTTTATAAAAGTGATCATTATTCTCATCAATAAAATAAAATGTGTAGCCTACCATTACAATCATAGATACTGTGGAAAAAGCCTGACAAAATTTTTCTACTGAGCAAAAATATGTTAAGATTGTTTTTATTGTATTAGAAAAATGTCATAATATTGTGTTACAGTTGTAGAATTAGGATATCAACACCATTGAGAAGTTAGTGAAGGAAGAAAAGTAGTATTTATGGTATGGGATTACGAATGAATAATCATTCACATTTCACTTGAGAAAGCTAAGGCCAGCGTAGACATTCAGTAACTTGTCACCTAAAGACAAGTGCTTTTGTTTAATTCAAAGCCAAATATGTCTGATTCTCAGACTCTTTCTCCTTTTTCTTCAGAAAGGTTCCCCTTGGTCAGTTGACCTGACTGCCCCATGTAGAGTATGGAATTTCATGGATTTTTTTCCCAGATCACCTGCTTATGAACTATGTAGACAACTTGCCAGTGTTGAATGTAGCTGGAAATGTTATGAGTATCACATAACCCATGCTAACATTTCCTTTATTCTTAAGTAAAGTCAGAAATGTGTGAAAGAGTGGTAATAGAGAGTGTCATGAGTAAGTTACATTCATAGAGTTCTCAAAAGAGAAGATTACAATGCCAAAAATTCAGGAAAAGTAAAATCCTGTTGGAGTTGAATGACAGGACAAATGGCCTGATTTGTATCTTAGGCCAAATCAGGCCAGAAGTGTATTAAATGATACATATAAAATCAAATGTATACATTTGATGTATCTAACAGAATGATACATTTGATATATCAAAATGATACATTTATTAATGTTATAATTAAGCAATTAAGTCCTATGTTTGGATGTTTTTATTTGGAAAACCCTAAAATATACCTATTTCTAGTCCCTCTTCCTACTCTCCCTAGCATCCTGGCCACATAAATCAGAGCCTCGGAGAAAGGTCAGGGCCTGGGCATTGGCATTTATTTTCTTTTTTTCTTTTTTCTTTTTAAGACACAAAGTCTTATCCTGTTGCCCAGACTGGAGTGCAATGGCAAGAGTACAGCTCACTGCAGCCTTGACCTCCTGGGTTCAAGTGATCTTGGGTTCAAGCAATCTATCTTGGTACAGATAGAGTCTCAGCCTGTTTACAGGGGTCATTGATATGCCAAGTAACTGCTCAGATCTACAGGCCTATCCCTTACATTTTCTTTCCATTTCAAATTCTAGAATACACACACACACACACACACACACACACACACACACACAGGCACAGGGAAAATATTGGTAGAGCATATACCATTTTTCTGAATTGTTTGAGTAAAATCAATTAGCACTAAATCATGTTAAAATAATTGGAAGAGCTCTAAAATGAAAACATTTGCAAAAATTAGAATGATAAAGATGCACATGTTAGTAAAGGTAGTTGGTAATTTGTTAATTGTAAGCTGGATTAATTTTTATTGTCACTTTTACTCATAATATGAAGGATAGTTTTTTTTTCTTTTCAAATTATTTGCCTAAACTTGGAAAATAAAAATTCTGGGAATAGCCACTCAGAAGAAATTCTCAATATATTGCCATGTTTGGTAAGGGAAGATGTGTTTATTTTTCATAAGTGTTATATTTTAGCCCAAATAGTTTCTCCTCTCAAAAAATAACTTTATGTGCCAATAATTTTAATGAAGATGATCCCAATTAAATAATTAAGGGGCATAGATTTGTAAGTAGAATTTCATCTTCTAACCTTGCCAATAGTAAACATAATTTTAATTCAACTTGCACCACATTCAAAGTAAATCATGCCCCCAGGCATAAACGTTTTAAGAAAATGTGACTGTATAAAAATGGACACCAACTAGAAATTAGAAAAGATAGCAAACAATAGTCTTAACTTTGTTTATCCAAAGGCACAGAAGTCATAATAAATGAATGGATGCGTAAATACGCCCATTTTTATGAAGCATTAAAAAAAAACAAACAAAACCTTTTCTTTCTTAGTAGGGTGCTATAAGAACACGGTTTCCTGTTTCCTACATGTAGTGTAGGGACAAGCCAACATTTACTTCTCTCCAAACTGGTGAGCTAATTAACCTCAAACCTGAGTTGTGTAGCACTCAAGGATACGGGTCTACATATGGTGAGCAAATTATTTAATGAAACTTACTTGTCTGCAATTTCTCTACACTTTAGGAGGTATTTTATGTCACTTGCCTGGCCAGACACAGCATGAAATGAGTGACATAGTAAAATAAAAAAAAAAAATTGTTAGACATAGTTCAACAACTAAAGAAAAAAAATAAGAGAACTTAAACTAAAATATAAAATTGAACTTATAAACTTAATTTTTATGAAACAGGATACAAATTAAAGTCAGAATTCAGTAAGAAGATTATAAAATGCCCATATCAGGTTTTGAAGGGGTGTCACCCTTCTTGGCATCCCCCCACCCCACTCCCCACCTACCCATCCCTGGTCTGTTCCAGATAAATCATATTTTGCACAAGGTTAAACACAACAAAACGTATCTGCCTGCATCACTGCTTTGCAAAAATGAAACTCATGAATGTCCCTTTGAAATTTTTGAATATTGGTATATTTAAATAAGTATTTGGTAATTCTAACCTTAATGGAAATCTCTAGTGCCATTGCATTGTTGATATGCTGATATAAAACACATTCAGCAATTCCCTAAAGACTACAGAGACAAAATGACTAAGATGTTTTTAATCAAAAAAAAATTTATGCACATTTTCTGGATTCCGGCAGGGTGTATTATTTTCTTTCACTCTTTTTGTTATCATGTCTTCACATCTTATGAGATCTGAGTCCTCTGGTGTTATGTTACCACATCATTGTCTATCTCTTCTGCTTTACTTCCCCAAAAGGCCTTGAGCTCAGGTCTCCTAGGCAGATTTAATATCCTGGCACAAGCTTTCCTTGAATGATTATGGTAAACCTTGCTTGTGGCAATTTTTGTTTCTTCCAGCATTCACCCAACCCCCACCACCACTACCTTTCTGTACTTAATGATATTTTAAAAATTTATTTTGTTTTGTTTGCCCCCTGCTTTGCAATCCCCTCTTCTATTCTATACCCTCCAGCTTGCTGATTATCTTAATATACTTTATTTCTCTGCTGTCTATTCCTCTATGAATCAAGAGAAGTACAGTATGATTTTGAAACCTGACACTGTTAAGTCATTTAGGGATAAAATGCCAAAATAAAAAATTCCAGGTTCAACAACTTATTAAGTGTGATCTATGCAAACTATAAATAATTATTTCTCTACTGTGCATCATGTGTATGTTACATAATACATGTGTGTATATTCACAGCCTTGTATATACACACACCCAGCTGTACATGGAGACCCAATAAGGACCTTCACCTGTCTCAAGTGGCAGAAGTAGTTTAAAGCGCAATGTGACAGTCAGGGGTTGCTATGAAAAAGTAGCCTGTTTTCCTGGAGGGGTCTCAATATTGATTTTGAAATTGCTTCTAAATTAGCCTAGATAATAGTATCCTAACTGAGAGAAGTTATTCATAGTGGTGCATATAGTAAACACTGAGCTACTACTTACATTCTCTTAATTAAATTTTGGCCTTGAATAAAAATAAGAAATTCTAAGAACACAAAGATAGTATTCATTAAAAAACATGTAGAGAGTTAATAGGTATTTTTGAATTACATTTAATTTGTAGCTTAACTGAATTAAAAATCAAAATTATTCACTATGAAGTTTGATTATTATTTAGTAGGTATTTTATATAAATTATTTTAATTGTATATTATCTGCTATTCTTCCCTATTAAAGTATTTTGTTTGACAAAGCCATACAAATTTTTGATGAACAATTTATTCTTTTAGAATATGAACCTATAAGATCATAAAATTTTATTCTGGCAACAATAAACTAACACACATTACTAGGAACATTTGAGGACCTTATAAAACTTTTTAAATGCCAAAAGTTTGAAAAAAGTATTATATACTTCCAAAAAATATTTGTAAACATTTTACCTGAAACGTATTCCTAATATGATTATTTAAGTATTTACTGAGATGCTTATTGAGTCAAGTCAACCAAGAAAACAAAGAAATATGGTTTAGAAGCCTTATTAGTCCAGTCACATTAAAGGGAGTAACTAATTATTTGGTTATATTAACAGATTTTGAGACACAGAATTGCAGTTAAAAGATTGAAATATGTCAAACTTTTAGAAGTGTAAGGTAATGTTCTTAATTTTTGTATGTTCTAATTTTGTATATAAATCAGATAAAAACTGACAAATTCACCAGAGAACCAGACCTTAGATATTTTTAGTAATGTATATATCACACAGTGGTTGAGATCCTAGCTTGGGGAGACATATTGCTTATATTTAATTCCACATTGCCTTCTTTTTTTTTTTTTTTTTTTTTTTTTTTTTTTTTTTTTGAGGCAGAGCTTTACTCTTGTTGCCCAGGCTGGAGTGCAATGGCGCCATCTTGGCTCACCGTAACCTCCACATCATAGGTTCAAGCAATTCTCTTGCCTCAGACTCCCGAGTAGCTAGGATTACAGGCATGCACCACCACGACTGGCTAATTTTTGTGTTTTTAGTAGAGACAGGGTTTCTCCATGTTGGTCAGGCTGGTCTCAAACTCTCGAACTCAGGGGATCCTCCTGCCTCAGCCTCCCAAAGTGCTGGGATTACAGGCCTGAGCCACCGTGTCTGGCCTCCACCTTGCCTTCTCACAAGTCATTTGATTCTGAGTTTATTTTCCTCATGTGTAAAATAAAAATGATCATGATGGTCACTACGTAAATATTAGGTGAGGATTAAATGGGTTAATTCATATAAAGTTTTTGGAACAGTACTTAATCCATAGTAAGTATTCTTAAACTATGAGTTTTACAGTTGGTACAATTGCCTACTTCAGTTCTATTATAATACAGGGGAAGTTCTTAAGTCCAGAAAGTATCATATTTGCACAATACTGAAACATTCATTTTAAAAGAGATGTTATGTTTTATTATTTGAACTCTAGCACTCTTTCTTCTCTACTATAAAGGATCTAATATCCATCTTTCTGGGTGAGCGCCACACACACACACAAACACACACGTACACATAGACATCAAATAAAAATTGATGATATACAAATATGAACAAGAATATATATAAAATACAGGTGAATATATTCAAATACTGACAAACTATTAAAAGGGAGTGACATGAATATAAATATTGGGCTATGCACACATAAAATACATAATATTTAAATGGCTTATCCAAAGGAGTATAAGAGGAAACCAATTTCAGAGATGCTTGGCTTTATTTTTTTAATTATCTTTTTAATTTGGGGCAAAATAGTTAAACTGTCCATATTCAGGCCATACCTGACTAATGAAAGGATTGAAGTAGGTCTATGGTCTCCTTCAATTCTGTCAAAACTATCAGTTCCTGAAAGGTGGTAGGTAGATAGATAGGTAGATAGAGATAGGTAGATATGGGTAGATAGAAGATAGATACACACAGACACATACATAAAGTTCATATGTATATATTAACTTTCTGAAATTCATACAAATGAATATTTTATAAAATGCACATTATCATATTGAAGAGTTTAATATTTCTGTCTCTCAATAACTGCTGTAACAAGAAGACAAAATTAGTAAGAATATAGAATATCTAACAACTCTATAAACTAACTTTACCTAATTGATATTAATAGAAAGCTGCACTCAAACATATAGAACATGAAGTTAGAAAAGAAAGACTATGTTGGCTGGGCACAGAGGCTCGCAGCTGTAATCCCAGCATTTTGGGAGGCTGAGGTGGGCATATCACCTGAGCTCAGGAGATCAAGACAAGCCTGGGCAAGATGACGAAATCCCGTCTCTGCAAAAAATACTAAAATTAGCCTGGTGTGGTGGCGTGTGCCTGTGGTCCCAGCTACTTTGGCAGGCTGAGGTGGGAGAATCCCTTGAGCCTGGAAGGCAGAGGTTGAAGATTATGTGATGGACCATAAAAGAAGTCTTGATACAAAATACTGAAAAATAATAGAGAATAAGTTATAGGTTAAAATAGCTATTATACATCTCTGTAAAACTTTTACCAGATAATCATAGATTCATCATTTTTTGTAGTTAGCTATTAATTTGAGTGGGAAACTAAAACAATAAGTAAAAATATCATAAAATATTCATTGAAATATATAACTGCCCAAATTATTTCAGTGGACAAATAGTTTTATTTTTGCTTAGGTAATTTTGCATTTTATTTACTTGCTATAAACGTAACCATATTGAAGAGTTTTAAAGGATGATAAATGTATATTTATATCATTTTAAATTGAGGAAAGTGTTTAAAATGTTTTGTTATAGAAAAACCTATAATTTTATTAAATGTGGCAATAAGAAGCAAAGTTTGAAGATTTTTATTTTCAACTTATTGCTTACGATTCTACTCTATGATACCTCTTGAAAATTTTTTCTTATTATAATTTATGATGATAATACTTAAACTGTATAGTTACCACACTGGCAGGAGCTATGCTTCTAGTCCCGTAGTAACTAATTTTTGAAAGTGTCATCCTTCCGGACAATGTTAAGATATCATTCATTAAATATCCATAAATTCTTAAAATTTGAAAGGAGATGATTTTAAAATGTTGGAGTATTTTTTAAAAATATGTAAATAAAAATAATTATTTCAAGTATGTCCATTTGGTGATATTTTATAAATAATTAATTTATAAGAGGAAATGCAAGACAATCCATTTTTCCACTGAAGAACTTTTCAAACTTATATTAGCTTCATTGGATTCAAGTTTGTTTTTTCTTTTCTTCAACAATTTTATGGCAGATGACATTTAACTAGAAAAGTAATCTTATCTAAAACTCTGGCGAATGTGTAAAGTTAAATAGCAATCACATTGATTTAATCAATTATTGCTGTATATTTTTTGTGCTATTCTGCTGTTGTAAAAAACTGAGACCATGCTTTAAATGTATGTTTGCAGAGGGCATGTTAATGAGTTTATACATTTTTGTTGTGTTTTCCTTTGCTACACTATTTATATTCATTGCTTTCAGTAGAAATTGATTTTAAAAGATCAGCTTGAATCTTACCAAGGTGAGTCTAATGCTTCATTATTTCACTATATGAAAATTAGTTCCTTTAGGGAAAAGAAAGTTGTTTTCAATTACATCATGAGATTTTATCATAAGTGATTTCTTGCCACACAATTTTTTTCAAGAAGAATTTGTGAATCTGTGTGTGTGTGTGTGTGTGTGTGTGTGTGTGTGTGTGTGTGTGTATTTCGTTACAAACGACCAGGATAGTCTTTGTTTAAAAAAAAAACAATGCCCACCATTTAACAAGTTGGAAAAAACCCTGAAAGCTCAGATGGAAGCCCCAAAGTTTAGATCTGTGCCTTGACATTGTCTCGAGCTTTGAAATAGGTATGGTTACTAAGGCATCTAATTTGAAACAGATAAAATTGACATGCATTTGCATGTTATGCTAAAAGAAGAACAGAAAAAACATGCAAGTAATAGGTTTTTAAACCTTTCTTACAATTTTTAATTGAAATATGTAATTTTATATCCCATTCTAAATGGTTATTTAATGTTATCTATTTTAAAGTAATTAAATTAATATCTGTATATCTTCTAACTGGGAAGAATACAATGGATTACTTTGAATATAAATGCCATCTGTAAATTCAAAAGTTTGGTATATTTTTTTCTAAAAATCTCACTGTATAATACACATTTACATATATTTACACACACTGTATTTATATATTATATGTTTTATACATGTTTGACTAAATGTATAAATCACATGATATATTGCAATTGAATTTATGGAATATAAATTATATTAATTGGTTAGAAATGGAAAATGAACTACCTTAACTATAACATTCTCTTGGTAGCTTATTATGTGAGTGGAAAAGGAAATATTTCACGCTAGTCAGGCTGGCTTATGCCTGTAATCCCAGCACTTCGGGAGGCCAAGGTGGGAGGATTGCTTGAGGCCAGGAGTTCAAGACCAGCCTGGGTTTGATGTGAGACCCCGTCTCTACCAAAATTTTTAAAAATTAGGTGGGCAGGCGGTGCACACCTGTAGTCCTAGCTACTTGCGATGCTAAGGTGGGAGGATCTCTTGAGCCCAGGAGTTGGAGATTGCAGTGAGTTATGATTGCACCATTGCGTTGCAGCCTGGATGACACAGTGAGATCCTATCTTAAAAAAAAGAAAAAGAAAAATAAAGGGACTACTTCTTCTTCATTTTCATGAAATGAGCAATAATATGTAACTAACCTAAAATTACATTATATTAGACAATGAAACCACAAGAGTATCTACTGTCCTATAAAAGATGTAACTTCATTATAAATAATTGCATTCTCCTTTCTAAAAATGTTCTAAGGTGATAGACATATATCCTGTTATTTGCTCTAAGTCTTTCCTCTTGTCTTCATAATTTGACCTGGAATAAAAAAGCATATTTTCTTTGTTTACCAAAATGTCAGAAATTATGTTTGTATATCAAAAATTAGTAAATGAGCATATATATTATTTAAGGAGAGTTAAAAGTCTAAAATAGTGTTCAGATGTGGTTAAAAAAATTACAGAGATCAACTCATTTAGCAGTTTACTCATATCTCTATAGTGGCACATTCCATTTTTTATGGGCCATCTTTGTACTACACTGTGGATATAAATTCCTGCTTAGTAGACAGGCACTGAGCATGCTAATGGCTCCACTTTATCCATTATTTTAGTCACCACTATACCACTTTTAGGTTCTTGATCAATGTGCAATTATTTGGCCAAGTTTTATTTATTTATTTTTCATAAAAACACCCCAGAGAATAGTGAGCAAAGAGCCTTATTAACCTAGCTGCTATAGCAAGTTTACCATTTTCTTTTGTGTGATTTTTAGGAAAGGGGAAGTAAATAATCAGTGAAGAAAGGACATCTGAAGAATAGAGAATACTGTAAAAATGGCCAAAATATTCAGCTCACATTTTCTCTTTCTCAAAGCACTGGAGGTTATCAAATCCACTGTGTTTTATTAGTAAGTTGCAGTTTTACAAGGGACATGCTCCAGAAGGCATTAGCAGAGCTCATTTTCTTGAAATGATTTGTATAGCTCACCAGCGTAAAAAGAAAAGAAAGGAGTAAAAATAGAACAATATGCTATTGATAAACTCTGGCTAATGAGAAGTCCAAACAAAAAATTGAAAAGCAACATTTTTATACAAAATTTTAACTACGACAGTGGATGCCAGCATGAGACAGGGAAAATAAAAATCGAATTTAGCAGAACCAAACAGACTCTTCAAAGATTGTCTTAAATGGAATCCTTAATTTAGCAATTCTGGGCCATTAATTTCAGTAATAAGTCAGTTATTTTTTAAGATTTTAAGGTTCTGGTTCCCACAGAAGGATGCCATCTCAACCCTATCTTTCAATATCCAGGAGACTTTAAAAAATTAAGATACAATTTACATGTAGTAAAATTTGCTCTTTCAGCATAAAGTTCGGTGAGGAGTGATAAATGCATAGTCATATAATGACTAACATAACCAAGATAGAATTACATCACTCCAAAAAAATTTTCTTGTGCCCCTTTGTAGTCAAAGAAATAATAGATAATTCACAACAGCCTGGAAAAATTACCACAAGCATTGCACTCTAATTTGCCTCAGTTTCAAATTTGCTGTTTTGAAACTAATGAATAAATAATTAGTCTCCAACCTATTGCTCCTGACTTCTGTTGTTTCCTCATACTATTTATGCTAATTTCTAATTTTCTTTATATATTTATAAGTTTGAAAGAGTAAAATGCCCATTGCATAATTTATTTTATATTAATATTTAATTATTTGTTTAAATATTAATGAGAGAAATAACTTTAAACATTTCAAAGAAGTTATATTGATATAATGGGATATTACATACTGATATTATTGAAGTTATGTATACATACATCTAGCACAAAGTATGCTTTCACTGAACTGTCAGTAAAAAATCAAGTTAAAATTTATTAAAATCCAATGAATTAATAAATTTTGTAAGAAATATGGCGTTTAACATTTGGCTATTTATTTACTTCAGAGTTAGGAGTTTCCTGTCTCCCTCTTCCATGTATATCTGTGTCAGAATAGTGACACCACCTAAGCAACGTTGTTGTATAAATTAACAGAACAAATATTCATGCTCTCTAGTCATGAGTATAATTCCATTCAACTAGCCTGATCTGTCATGAATAGTTAAAGCTGTGCCTCACTTACATGTTATTGAAATATGTAAACATAAATATTGAAACATATTATGACATAAGTAAACAAAAACTAGTAAAAATTTGTTTAATCATTACCATTATAAATGCTTTGCAGGTATTATCTTTTTTAAGCATTACTTCAATTCTATGTAAAATGACCTATTATTTTTCCAATTTTACTAATGAGAACTCTGAGGCAGTGTTTAAATATCTTGTCCATGTCGCATAGTTAATAAACAGTAAAACTTGGTTTGAACTCAGACACTGTAACTCTAGTTCCCACTTTCTTCACTGCTATAATTGAGACAATTCTTTACAAATTTGAAAATGCTTTAAAATGTACTATGATAATGAAGTAAAAAAAGTTTTTACATTGCATATGCTATCTCTGTGTTTACCTACAATGCACTCAGCGTTTTTTAATGTAAGAACTTATATTGAAATTCTACCATTTCATATACATTGCTTTTAGCATTGACATTATTTACTAAAGCAAACACAACTATGTAAACTAAACTTATAAGACTAAAAGCACAAATGCTTAATCAGTTTGACTTATATATAATATTATTTATTGACAGGATTTAATTATATGTGGGTAGAATTTTGATTTAATTGTCAAATAAAAGCACTCTAAATTCCATGCATATTTTGCAACAGACATCACTCTTTAAATTGATGATCAATACTTCTAGCCAAAGAAAATGATTTGACTAATATTAGTATTTGTCAAATTCATATTTAACAAGTTACTTTTAATTTTTTATTCAAATAAAGCCATATGATATTAGAAAGTCTATGAGGAGTTTAAACAATAGCAATGAAAAACAGGTATAATAAAGAATTGCATCAAAACTTCGCTTCTAGGTTTGGAAAAGGCATCTTAAAATTAAGTTTAGTTAAGAAAATGTTACAAATCAATATTATTGAATAAAATGGCCAGGTGAGGTGGCTCATGCCTGTAATCCTAGTACTTTTGGAGGCCAAGGTGAGTGAACCACTTAAAGTCAGGAGTTGGAGACCAGCCTGGCCAACATTGTGAAACCCTGTCTCAACCAAAAAATACAAAAATTAGCTAGACGTGGTAGCATATGCCAGTAGCCCTAGCTACTTGGGATGCTGAGACAGCCAAGCCGCTCCCATTTTGTCTTTTGACATTATGTACTTTGAAAGCTTACTGGTTTTTTTTTTTTTTCTGGAATATAGATTTAAGCCCCAAAGCCTCATATTATTATTATTATTTATTATTTGTAATCTTATGCAAGAAGGGTACTAAACTCTAGAATATACATACATCTGTGTTACAGAAAAAAAAAATGCAATTATCTCCCATCTTTTTCTCTTGGATAAACAAGTAATATGTTAATGACACAAGTAATTTTGTTATCTTAAAAATAATATGACTGAAAGTCTGGGCTTGCACCATGCCATAGAAAGGGCATTGTGTCACCTCTCATTGCTCTGTACTTCTATTCTCAAAAGGAGAATCTTTTGAACCCGGAGGTGGAGGTTGCAGTGAGCTGAGATGGAGCCATTGCACTCCAGCCTGGGGAAGAGAGCGAGACCCTGTCTCAAAAAATAAATAAATAAACATAAAAATAAAATAAAATAATGAAAGGTAGCATTAATTTTAACACTGGACCAAGAGTATAACAAAGTTTGCTGTTATTGTCCAACATCATGAATAAAAATTATAGCTTTCATTTGTGAACAAACCATTATACCATTATTATCAGCAGTGTATAATTGTGTATAATTCTAAATATACTCATACACTTTATAAGACTGAAAAGGACAAAGCCTTTGATGTTGCAATTATAAAAAAAGATTGTCACTGATAACAATTTTTTATTTAATTTTAAATAATTTTATTTATTTATAGAACCAGGGTATATAAAGATAATACATTTATATTGAATCATTTGACAAAATCATCACCTGGTACAATTAAATTTTAATTTCATATACTACAAAAATATCTTGCCTTCCTATTCCTCATATGTTTCCAACTGTTTCCATGAAAACATGTCTGAATAAAGGTGTCAGCATGGCCATGCTCCCTTTGAGGGCTTTAGATAACCCTTCCAAGCCTCTTTCTAGCTTCTGGCCACTGCCAGCAGTCCCTGGCATTCCTTAGTTTGTAGCAGCATCATCACTCTAATTTCTGCTTGTCTTCATGGTCTTCTTCCCTGTTTGACTCCTCTGAGTCTGTGTCCAAATTTCCCTATTCTAATAAGTCATTAATTATGGCCTACTTGATTCCAGTATGATCTCATCTTCATTTTGTTATTTCTGCAAAACCCAGTCGCCAAGTAACCCTATTTCCTCACATTCTGAGGTTTTGGGTGGACACAAACATGGGGCAGGGGAAGGGATTATTCAATCCAGTGCAGTGTTTACTTAATTTATGTTAGTTGAGCTTTGATGAGCCTTTCAATCTGTATAATTAGGTTCTTTATTTTCTACCTGGTCAATAATTATATTCAATTAGTTATTTTTTACTATTTCCATTCCAATTCTCATGAACGCTTCTTATGATGAATATTTTCTCTCTCTTCCATAGCTATCATCATCTTTCACATATTTGAGATGATTTTTTCACAGTATCAATGCAATTCTGAATTTATTCTTCTCAGATAGACTTTCCAAGTCTGCTTTTACATTACTACCTGGCTTGCAGATCCCGCTTATACATTCCTAGTCTATTCTCAGTATATTCTATGTATTTTGTGATATTCCTATCACTTTCTAGTCCTGAGTTACAAACTTATTTCTCTATCTTTTGGAAAATGTAACACTTGGGTTTTTGTTGTTGTTGTCATTGTTGTTGTTTTTGTTTTGTTTTGTTTGCCAACACAGATGGTAGAAATGTCAGTGGGCCGGTTCAGGTTCTTGACTTAGAGAGCAAGTCTAAAGTAAAAGTAGGCAAAGAAGTTTATTGCACCGTGAAGGACATTCTGATAGCTGGGTCAGAATGGGCTGCTCCAGAATGAGACAATCCCATCTCACGCTGGGAAAATTCCCTTTATGGGAAGCTTATATGATTATAAAAGGGCCAGGATGAGTCTTTCCATTACGCATGCTTCAGGTGGTCTCCTGAGTGTTCATGCGCAATTGTACATTCTAGAACATACATCACATGTCTTATTAGCATCTTAATTCTCCAACCAGAGGTGTGTTTCTTACTAGTATGATGAACTTAGGTCAACCCAAGGACACTAATCATGGGTTTCTGTGCTTGTGTGAATTTGGGGATTTTCCCTTCGGCTCTTCATCTTCCTTGCTGCAGGATGTTCCAACCAGGGGTCCCAGATAGGGGATTTGCACTGTTGGGAAGTTTGTTCTATCTATTTGGCAAGTTTCTTCCCTCTTAAGGGAGGCTGTGACCAACCTATCTAACCTACCTCAGAAAAACTATGGTAGATTTCAGCTGATTGCTGGTTGAAACTCATTGCTGATGTCCACAATATCCTTCCTAACTAAACACATCCTAGCAAGTCTTCCAAAATTTGATCCTGCAGGACTAAGCTAGTACCCTTTCCCACTGAAAGCTGAGATTTTTGATAGGGAGAAATACCTATTAGGAGTTCTCTGACTTCCAAATTGACTTCCAGACCTTTACTTCTGTGAACCATTTATGGATAAGGAATTATGTAAGTTTAATAACCCCATCTTTAAAAATATGTCATTTTTAATTTCATTTTACTAAGATTTTTATTTCTTCAGGTTCTTTCCTTTCTGAAATAATTTTAGGATATGAAAATCTGTAAATGAAAAACTACAAAGTTTTTAAAAGAGCAGTTTTGGAAAAACAGGTATTCTAGAATGATGAAAATATTTTATACAGATTCCAGAAAGAAATATTAAATTACATAGAAAAACTGTATTAGATATGTGACAAAGGTCAGAATATTCAATTATCCTCCTCTGTATCTGCTGTGGTTTGAATATTTGTGTCCCCTGCAAAATCCACCTTGAAATTTAATATCCAGTGAACAGTATTAAAAGGTATCTTTAGAAGGTGATAAGGCCATGAGGTCTCTGCCCTCGTGAATGGATGAATGCCTCTTGAAAGGGCTTGAGGGAGTAAGTTTGCCCCATTTGTCCCTTTTGCCATGTGAGAACACTGCATTTTTTTCCCTCTGGAGTACACAGTCTCAAGGCACCATCTTGAAACAGAGAGAGCAGCCGGCACCAAGCACTGAACCCTCTGCCACTTTAATCTTGGACTTCCCAGGCTCCAGAACAGAAAGAAATACATTTTTATTATTTAGAAATTACCCAGTTTTGTGGATTGTGAGGCCAGAAGTTCAATAACAGCCTGGCCAAGATGGTGAAACCTTGTCTCTACTAAAAATACAAAAATTAGCCAGGCGTGGTGGCAGGCGCCTGTAATCCCAGCTACTCGGGAGGCTGAGGCAGAGAATTGCTTGAATCCAGAAGGAAGAGGTTGCAGTGAGCCAAGATCTGCACTCCAGCCTGGGCAACAGAGCAAGACACCGCCTCAAAAACAAAAAAAATTACCCAGTCCTACATATTTTGTTATAGCAGCACAAATGAATTAACACACTATCTCGACCACTGAGTTTTATGAAGTTATGTGAACATGCTTCTATTTTATTTTTAGACATTTTGTACTTTGGAAGTTTACTGGGTTTGTTTGTTTGTTTGTTTGTTTCTGGAATATAGATTTAAGCCCTGAAAGCCTTATGTTATTATTATTTATTATTTATAATCTTATACAAGAGGGGTACTAAACTTTAGAATATAAAATACATACATCTGTGTTACAGAAAAAAAATAAAACAACACAATTATCTCCCATTTTTTTTCTCTTGGACAAATAAGTAATATATTAATGACCCAAATAATTTTGTTATCCTAAAAATAATATGAGTGAACGTTTGGATTTGCACCATGCCATAGAAAGGGCATTGTGTTACCTCTCATTGCTCTCTACTTCCTGCCAGTTTTTGGTTGTTTGTTTTTGCTTTTTTTTGTGTGTGTGTGGGAACTGCAGACATACAATTTGAGATATTGATGAGGAGGCATGTGTTTAGGAAACAGCACTTTGCCTGTCTTACCTTCTGAAATGTTGTTTTATTATCAAGCTGAGCAGTAGATTTTAAGGGCTTTTACATCATCTTTCAACATCTCAACTTTATTTTCCTGTTTCCATTTGCATAGCCGTAGATAGTCACAATTTATTTTTTGTTACAGTTTTATGGTCCTTGTACTTATAATGAATTTCTATTTTCCATAAGATCCTGCTTGTTGGGTAACTACAGAATATGCATAATAGATAGAAGAATAAAGTTTTATTAATCAAAATGCTCAGATCCATTGAAGGGAAATTTCAACCTCTCATATTTATTTATTTGAAAACTGCTCTCTTTCTAAAGGGTTTGAGGCTGACAGTTTAAAGTCCTGATTTTATTTTAAAAAGAGTCACTTAATTAAACTTTATCAGAAGCTAAGCTAATACATTTTTAAATGTTGAGCATAATTGTTTTCCCATAATTCTAAAAATATAAAAACAATTTTTTAAAATTAAGAGCTTTTTCTACTTTAAAAGCTAATTAGATTATATATTTGGCTTAATATCTTATTATTGAAAAATTTAATTATAAAAACCTGTTAATTGCTTTATAGTTGTATGAAATATAAAAATATGCTAATTTACATTGGCTGTATTTGCTCTCAATAATAAGGACTTAGGGAAGGCTAAAATTATATTTAAGTATTTTAGCCAGGCATGGTGGCTCATGCCGGTAATCCAGAACTTTTGGAGGTCAAGGCAGACACATCATTTGAGGTCAGAAGTTGGAGACCAGCCTGGGCAGCATAACAAGACTTTGTCTATACAAAAAATAAAATAAAATTTTCACTGGGTGTGATAGCATGCACTTGTAACCTCAGGTACTTGGGAAGCTGAGGAGAGGGAATCACTTGAGCACAGGAGTCCGAGGCTGCAGTAAGCAATGATCACACCACTGCACTCCAGCCTGGGCAATAGAGCAAGATCCCATCTCTAAAAAATAAAAATAAAATAAAATTTCCAAAGATATAAAGCATCTTTGAATAACATTGCCTTTTCATTGTACAGTCTTATAGATGTCTTAAAATTTTAAATATAATTAAAGGGATTAATATCTCTATTGTATCTTCCTGATCATTCTCTCTCCGCAACAAAAATGGACCTACAGAGACACACAGATACATACATATACACACATACACTCACACACACACACAAGAAAAAACAGATGCTATTTCATTGATGCATATATTGGTAGACTGTCACATATGGTGTGGTGTGTTAATTAGTTCATTAATTTGGAAAACTGCCACAATACTATGTATCCATGTTTACAATTTTACAAATATCTTTTATAAACTAGATTAAAAAACAGCAATCCATTGGAATACAGACCATTGGAAGGCTAGATTTATGCACATAAAAGAAAATGTAAATGAAACACTATATTCAAGATTACTGTTAATCCTTTACCAAATATTTTCCCATTTTTAAAACATGCAAATAGGAAAATTTAACTAAAAGAAGACAAATTGTCATAAAGTAAAATAAAATGAGCATGTGGCTCGAGGTAAATTGTGCCAATGGGACTAATTTGACAAGTTTATTTTTATCAATTTCTGCTTCAATTACTCAAGCCACATTTCTAATATGAGTCAAATAATGTGCCAGTAATTTATGATACTTATATCAAATAACACATGAATAAGATATTTAATGATCGATAAAACATAATATATTTCTACTGAGGTGGATCAAAAACTTTCTTATTTTTTCTTTTCATATATATAGAAATTATTTACAAAGAAGTTAATGTAATAGAAATTGTGCATAAAGTCATTAGTTACCCTATAAATATGCTATTTAGCTCATTATTGTCCACTTAGCTAATGCTACAATGCAAAGGTATTTTTTCACCCAGGACGGTTACATGTCAGAAACAAACACCACTCTATCTAGTTCAGGGAGAAAAAATGTTTTTGTTTGTTTGGTTTTGGTATTTTGTTTTGATTTTTAACATGCAACTCAGAGATTCTCCATAAGTCCTTAAAAACATTGCCCAAACTTGCCTTAAGGCTGCCTATAACCTGCAATCACTAGCTCAGCACAAAACTTGAGTTACTAAAGCCCCTATCACTTAGCCAAATAATGAATTCCATGTGGTCCAAGCTTGTTTACATTACTCTGTTCTGAATCAAAACTCCATTCTGTTGTATCTGATTGGGTGGCCTAAATTGTCTGTGTCCTACCTTCAAAGGATTCTGTAAAAGAATAACACTGGCCTATAATGAGGGTAGGGCCATCCTTCATATTAAAGGGTGTTCAAGAGATGTCAGGAGCCTTTATGCATAGCAAATGTCTACTAGAGCCCTACTCTTTGCTGTCCAACATGCTTGTACACCTATCTACCATACTTCAACTTCCAAACAATTATAATACCCAGAGCTACCACAGAAATATGTTTCTCCCTTACGTATTTTAAGCATCATTTTAAAACTGAAAATAAAATATGTGCTGACTTTTTAGGCCACTATATTAAACATGACTTAAACAGAGGCTTCTCAGTTAATTCTATGTGGTATCATTTATGTGCATTCTATATGGTAAAGGAAACAAAATATGAAGGGTAGCGTTAGTGAAATGGTCTTGATAACTCACATCTTATAAACGTCTTAATGATTTGTTTGTCAGGATTTCTAAGCAATATCCATTTTCCACTTGTCTCATCCTAATTCTATCTTTATACAATTCCACATACAAATTTTAAAGTTTAACACGACTTAAATAAGTATATAATATAGCTACAGAAGTCAACTGAGGAAAAGGGAAATTATTTCAGATAAATACATAAATATGTTACTGTGAAGAAACTATATGAGTAGTTAATTTAATACTTAGCTTTACATTTGGTCACAAAGCTATACAATTGGTATTTAATGCCTTCTTTCTCCACTATCCTGCCATATGTTCTTTTTCCATATCCACCACCTCAGTTGATCTAAGTGTGTTATTGAATGAGGTGATTGAAACCTTCATTCCTGAAAAAGGTGATTTTATCCTGGTCCTGTCCTGTTGACAGGAATTTATGAAGTCTTTCATATACTTGTATTATTCAGTTCCAACTAGACTGTCTTTCTTCATTACATAGCAGCAAACACATTTACTATTATACTATTATAATCTGTATAATTAACTAGTTCAACACTGAAAACCCTCATTTTACCAGTTCAAACAGTGGCATCAAGAACCCCATATTAGAAAATGATACTTTAGCTTTTATTTCAATGAAGTCATTGTTGTATTCCTTAATGAACACTTTCAGTGTATTACCACCTTAGATTGCTATGAAATGTAAATAAGAGGTAGGCAAGCTATTTCTGTAAAGGGCCAGATAGTAAATATTGTATGTTTTCCAAGCCATATGTTCCCTTTTACAGCTACTCAGTTCTACTGTTATTTCATGAAATCAGCCATAGACAACACATAAATAAATAGATTTGGCTGTATTCCAATAAAATTTTAAAAAATAAAAACAAAAACAGGTGGTAGACCATGTTTGGCCCAGAGGCCATACATAACAGACCCCCTTCTCCATACCATCAAAACCAGAAGTCATGGAAACAATAAGCAAATAAATCTGCAAATGAAATATTAAACCATTAAACTTCTAGTGAAAAATGCCAATAACAATTCCATATTCTTCCATCCTAAACCTGTATATTCCGGCTATGAGGGAAACATCACAGGGCACTGGCATATTATTCCATTCTCACATTGCTATAAAGAATTGTCTGAGACTGGATAAGTTATAAAGGAAAGAACTTTAATTGACTCACAGTTCAGCATGACTAGGGAAGCCTCAGGAAACTTACAATCGTGGTAGAAGGGAAGGCAAACACGTCCTCCTTCACATGATAGCAGGAAGGAGAAGAATGAGAGCCGAGTGAAGGGGGAAGACCCTTATAAAATCATCAGATCTTGTGAGAACTCACTCACTATCATAAGAGCATGTGGATATTGTGGGAACAAGTTAAGATGAGATTTGGGTGGGGACACAGCCCAACCATACCAATTGGTTTCTGGTTCAAAGCACATTGCATATCTGGTAAGATGGCAACCCACAGTTGCAAATTGCCATCTTGTACTGAATCTTAGCAAAGGTTGTAAAAACGTCTATTCTTCTTGTGAATGAGTTATACAGTAATCAAAGATTTTACTAGGTTCAGTCAATGGCGTTACTCTTCTTGTACATGATAAGAATCAATGTTCTATAGGATTCATGGTGATTAAGATCATCAGCAATTCTACAGATAGTTTTACTGGAAGAGATTTGAGGACATCAAGTAAACCCCAAAATATTGTTTTAATGATATAAACTTACTGGCCTTAAATGATTGAAAGCATATAATATTGTTTGCAACCTGCTACCTGGTGGTTTATTGGTCACCCATGTGTATTGTAATATGTGGAAAGTTGGTGTTGGACTTTTTGCAAATTAGGCACTTAATAATGGCAAGAACAAGGTAAATCTTGGTGACATGAAGCCCATATTATTGATTCCATCTGCAGTCCCAGTACTTTTCACCATGGAATCATGGCAATACTTTTATTAATCCATTAAGTGTTCATTGGGATGACTGAAGGAAAGGGGCTAAACTTATCTATGTGATTATTGAAATGTGTAATATTAGCCTTCTCATTAATAAAGTCTCTATGGTAAATAAGCACATATTTCTTTGGGAAAAATATAAGAAAACATAGAGTCTATTCTCAAAGTTCCCATTCTAACCTTTAATTAAGAGGCCCTGGTTTAGTGACATGAGAACACAGGTTTAAGAATTATATGAGGATACTGTTTATACCTTCAGGCTCAGGTCAAGTTTATTTTTATGCAGATATAATATTTACTTATACATATCAAGTGATACCTTAGTGGGATCTGATATATTTTGGGCCTAATGATACTGGAATATTTTTTTGCTACCCTCAAATGTACAAGTCAATCAAAGTGTTCAGATTGTATTCTGTCCCTGATGAATATTACGATACAAATCCCCTTGTCTCTGGTAGGTAACTGAAGCTAATTGGTTTCTACCAGCCAGTGTCCATCTACCCATATGTATAAGTTTATTAGGGCTGTCATCACAAAATACCATGGACTGGATGACTTAAATAACAGAAACTAATTTTTTCATAGTTCTGAAGGCTACAAGTCCAAAATCAAGGTAACAGCAAATTTGGTGTCTTCTGAAGTTTCACTTGACTTGTAGATGGTTACCTTCTTCCTGTGTCATTACATGATCATCCTTTAGTCTGCACATGTCTGTATTCTAATCTCTTTTTATTAGAATGCCAATCACATTGGATTAGACATGGTTACCAGTGGTAAAACCATTCAGGTCTGTGGCAAACTTAATCCTTGCCTCCTAAGAGGAAAAAATGTGGCTGAAGAGCAGAAGTAGGTTTAAGGCAGAGGGTGAGACAGAGCCAAGTTTTAGGACAGGGGTGCGAGTTTATTAAAAAGTTTTGGAACAGGAACGAAAAGGACCAAAGTGCAGTTGGAAGAGGGCCAAGCAGGCGACTTGAGAGATTCACGTGCCCCAGTCAGCCCTGGATGTGGGGTTTCATGCATTGGCATGGTTCTGAGGTTTGCATTTCATGCATCGGCATGGTTCTGAGGTTGGCATTTCTCCTCCATTCTCTCGTGGTTTTTCCCTTGGGGCAGGCTACCCACATGTTCAGTGGCCTGCCAGCCCTTGAGAGGGGCCGCATGTGCGGTGTGTTTACTGAAGTTGTGTGCATGCTCACTTGAGGCATTTTTCCTTACCAGTTGTGCATTCCTAGAGGAAGATCATATACTGTTGCAACTCTACCATTTTAGCTCTTAGTGTGCATGCTTGAGCCCACTTACCCAACTCCTGAGATCTTACTGGGAACACGCTGATCACCAGTTTCACTGTTTCCTATCTATTGGGAGACCATATTTCCCTGGTGCCAGCTACAACCAAAAATAATATTTTAGAAAGATAGTTTAACAGCTGCCTGACCATCATCTATGGTCCCCTGACGTTCTTTGTGGGAGCCCTCTCCTACCTTGATCATGTCTGCCTAACTGGCTACTCTAACAGAACTACTCCTAGGTTTTCAATCTGGCACATAGCATCCAGAATTTCTGATCATTTCATCCTCATAAACAAATTCAATTTCATCTAAAATTATGTTCCTCCTTTGTGTTCTAACATTATCACTATTCACACTTATTTTCAAAGTTTTGGTTTATGTGAAATAGAAAAATCTCCCAATTATTTGGTACCTAGACCTTTTATAATCTGGATTGATACCTTATATTTCACACGGAGACAATACTAGAATCTAACTCTGGTTATCTTTATGAACCATAACTGGTATTGGTTGTGGGTCATGAAGAGAATTAATTTATTCTTGGCAAGATTGTTTTAATGTTTTTCAGTAAAGCAAAAAACAAAGAAAACAACCTTGTGAGCTTTCTGATATGGGAAGAAAAGTTTGTTTATTATGGAAATAGGGCACAGTGGGATTTAGATGGTTAAGGTGCTTATCCATTCAGTCTTAAATTCTGAAGAATGTTAACTTTTCAGTTCTCAGAGTCCTATGTTTTCCAAAACAATGTCCTAAATGCCACATCAGAAACCTGGTGAACGGTAAATTAAATGTATTTTTAGTTTGATATTTGATATTTATTTGCACCTAATATGCTGTTTCTTTAATCCACTAGATCTTTAATTTGGTTGTTATATTTTATTCATTATATATAAAATCTATTTGACTCTTCTACAAGGCTATACATTTTTAAACATTTAACATAAATCTTCTTGATAATTTATCTTGTTTTCAATCTTCTTTCATACTTATTAATGTGTTTTAAATATACCTAACTAATATTATGTCTTATCAATATCTGAACTCTTCATGTCTGTTTCTAATGCCTGTCCTTTCTTTCTGCTAACTCACTTTCATCATTGTAATCAAATCTTGTATGAATTTTGGCCACAAAATATCTTGGAACTTTATCTGTGATGGTTATTTAAAATCAATGTGAAGTTGTATTCTTCCTGAAATGGATTTCATAGTCTTATACTGGTTGCAGAAAATCAATGTCAACTGAAGACTGCTTTAAATGAAATTATCCATGTGTTTTAAAATCATATAAACACTTTAAATATACCAAGACTCAACATAGCTACTGGTTTGTAAATCCTATATTTTCAAACAAGATTTCTCTTCCCTTTTCTTCATTTACCCAATTTCTAGGCAAAGAAAGGGTGTTTTATTTACTGTTTTTTTTCTGCTTTGAGAGTTTCTTTCTTGTCCAATGTTGCATTGAACTATATAATATCTGGGAACCTTAGCTTTATGTACATTATTATACTTTGTATACTGAGTGGGCAATATGCTTCATTTTTGTTATATTTCATCTTGTGCAACAATTAAAATAAAGGTCAAATTTATTGTTTTGAAATAGATATTCACAGTGAAAGCTAACTTTGTATTACCTTACCACACAAGGTTTTCAATTTTTGTTATTTCTGTTTAAATCTTTGACTTGTTGTAACTCAAGGATGCATTTTCAAACATTAAAATGTTACCAAGATTTTAAAGGTATATTTATCAGAAGGTTCATTCATGAAATATACTATATACATTGTTTAATATTTTATAGGAGAAGAACATCCAGGAGAATAATTTTCTTGTTGGTGAAAGGTAATAAAAAGCATGTTTGTGTTTGATTAACAGATTTTTCACTGAAGGTTTGTAATGACTTGTCATTTTAAAGCCTACATGTTACTCTTTACTTATTAAAGAGTTAAGGTTATTTGCATGCGTTGTGAATCTTAGACCTTCAAGAATATTAACAAAGATGACTTACCCTTAGAAGGCTTGAGAGATATACAAAACTCCTACTTCCCATTAATTTATTACAAGTAGTAGGCCAATATAAATTATTAATGATTTCTTTATTTTTTCAAAATCTATTCTAATTTTAATAACATGCATTCTATCACAGCTACACATCAGAATAGTGGATATCCAGTGACATACTATTCCTTACGTACCCATGAAAAATGCTATTTTTAAGGAAACAAAAATAGTGATTGACAGTGATTTTGTATTCACTAAAAAATATTACTACTCAGTACAAATATATTAGTCACAATATTAAAAATGTTAAGTTCAATATTACTGTTTAATATAGAGTTTATTTGGGAAGGATAAAAGAAACAAAATTTGTTTCATTACACCTCACATTGACTAACTTTACATTGATTAACTTTTCTTTCACCAGACTAAGAAAAAGCAGTAACAAATTAAAATGGCACAAAGCAGCTGTTTACACTTTATTAGATATGTTTTGGATTTAGTTTTGGATTTTGGATTTTATTTCTTATGATATAAAAACATGTTGTATTAAAGAGAAGTGGGGTAATACATTTGGTTTATTTAATAATTGGGGGATGAGGTTTTTATATAGAAGGGTTTTACATGTTGAAAAATAACACTACAAACTAATCTAAAATAGAAGTTATCAGCAGTAGAAAACACAGAAAAGTGAACTTTATTTAAATTAATCATGAATATGTATGTCGAAATGGTTCAGTGTATTTCGAACTATATTACTCTAGAGAGAATCTTAACTAATATCCATTTCAGTGATTATTAAAACTGAAAATTCCCAATTCTACACCTCAGTGAAAAGTTCTTATTAATTTAGGATAATAGGTATTCCACATTTTCAAACATTGCCATTCTGGTAATGATTTAAGGATACTAACTACAGTATTATGTTTTAGAAAGGTTTATTATGGAATTGGTGTGCCCTTTCAGGTTAACTAACACAATATCTATATAGGCACACCACATTTCTCATGCTATCTTATAGCTTATGCATTTATTAGGGGCGTAAGTAACAATGACTATATGGATTAAACACTCAGCAGTTTATTCTTACACAACATAATTCTCTGGTGAGCAGTGTAGGGCTGGTTCGGTGGTTTAAAAAGTTGTAGGGACTTAGGGTTTTTTTCTGCTCCGCTGGACATAACTTCCATTCTTGACATAACTTTTATCATAAGAGAACTTCAGTTTTATTTATGTATCTGTGCTCTTCTGCACAGCCATGACTTATCAGAAGATGTTCCCAGTCCCAGTTACCAGAGTTTATCAGAATGTGCTGAAATCACACTTCTCCCTCCCTAGTTATTGGTTCAGACATGAATATGCAAGACAATTCTTGCCAATGACCTAGCAGGAGAAGACAGGTAAGCAGTCTTCTATGAAATGAATATTCCCATTTTAATAAGATAAGAAAGTTTAGTTTTGCCTCTGAACATTCCCATGTATATTTATGTTCTGAATCCATTAGTGTTATCTTGAAACCATAAATGGAGCTCACCTGTGGAGAAAGCTCACATGTTGCTGACGGCAGAAGACAGTGATGGAAAATGGTACCAGTCCTGAGGAAATCTTGGGGGATGAATAAAATCATGAAGTCTCCTCCAGGTCTCTCATCTGCATAGTGAAAACATTCTGACTGTTAAAATGAAAACATTCTGACTGTTAAAATGAGCATGTAAATTTCCTGGTCAACATGGTGAAACCCCATCTCTACTAAAAAATACAAAAATTAGCTTGGCGTGGTGGTGGGCGCCTATAGTCCCAGCTGCTCGGGAGGCTGAGGCAGGAGAATGGCTTGAACTGGGGAGGTGGAGGTTGCAGTGAAGATTGCGCCACTGCACTCCAGCCTGGTGACAGAGCAAGACTCCATCTAAAAACAAACAAACAAACAAACAAAGAAAAACTTTGTTTTTATATGTATAACAAAGTACTATGACTTTACTATTTTTTACTTTTTATTTTTTCTTGAGATGGAGTCTCGCTCTGTGGCTCAGGTGGGAGTGCAGTGGCGTGATCTCGGCTCACTGCAAGCTCCAGCTCCCAGGTTCACGCCATTCTCCTGCCTCAGCCTCCCCAGTAGCTGGGATTACAGGCGCCCGCCACCACGCCCGGCTAATTTTTTGTATTTTTAGTAGAGACGGAGTTTCAACGTATTAGCAAGGATGGTGTTGATCTCCTGACCTCGTGATCCACCCACCTTGGCCTCCCAAAGTGCTGGGATTACAGGCATGAGCCACCACGCCCAGCCCAAAGTATTATGACTTTATAATAGCATCAGTACAGAATAGTAGATTGTATAATCAAGTATCTGGGCCTAAATCCTGGCTCAGTAAGGGACATTGGTCATAGGTAAACATCGCAATTTATCATTAAACAGAACTTGCAAAAATGCAAATGTGGATGCTTTATTTGGGTGTTCACACCCAGAATGGAGAGATTGAAGAAAAGGAGAAGAGAAGAAAAGAAAGATGGAGCAAAGGAGAATAATCTTAGTGCCCTTGTTTACTGGTTCACAAAGAACCAGGAAGAGACGCAATTAGTCCCTCAACAGATGAGTCTTCTTCACAATGAGATTCCTTCACACAAACAAACTGTATCTTGAAGAAGTCCATGGGAGAGAAGAAGGGAAAGGAATTTAACTGCCTCCTTTTTCTGTCTCCTTTATTTCCCTTTGATTAAAATTTATCCTCACTGGAGTTGACTTCCCCCAACTTCTGGGTTTATCATTTGTTCCATTTCACTGACTCTCAGGATGTTAGATCCATGCCCCATGCTGTCATATTTCATTTGAAACTGGTGGGAGTGGCCATCCCCTGATGGCTAGTGGCTGTAGGTCAGCTATACTGCAGTGTACATCAGACACAGCCTAGCATTCCAAGGCAAATGGTGCTGCCATGCCCTTTAAAGGAAGGGCAACCCAAAGGGAAAGCTGGTGAGGGACACTGTATGTGATGTAGCAAGTTCTTTTATCACTCTCTGCTTCAGTTTCCTCATTTGTAAGATATGTGGAATAATAGCACTTATATCACAGGGTCATTATGAACATGACTCTTTTAAAATTTAAAAATTCTTAGAACAAAACATGTCACTTAAGGCTCATGCCTTTTTAGATCAGGTTATCCTATGAATAGAAACAAAAAGTGAGATACAGGTCATCAGTGTTCTAAGAGAGAAATCCACCTTGTTACAAGATTGAAAACACTTTATTTTTCACTCTTTTGTTAATCTTTCGTACCATGGCATTTTTTTTTTAATTTTTTTAGTATTTATTGATCATTCTTGGGTGTTTCTCGGAGAGGGGGATTTGGCAGGGTCATAGTACAATAGTGGAGGGAAGGTCAGCAGATAAACATGTGAACAAAGGTCTCTGGTTTTCCTAGGCAGAGGGCCCTGCCACCTTCTGCAGTGTTTGTGTCCCTGGGTACTTGAGATTAGGGAGTGGTGATGACTCTTAACGAGCATGCTGCCTTCAAGCATCTGTTTAACAAAGCACATCTTGCACTGACCTTAATCCATTTAACCCTGAGTGGACACAGCAGATGTTTCAGAGAGCACGGGGTTGGGGGTAAGGTTATAGATTAACAGCATCCCAAGGCAGAAGAATTTTTCTTAGTACAGAACAAAATGGAGTCTCCTATGTCTACTTCTTTCTACACAGACACAGTAACAATCTGATCTCTCTTTCTTTTCCCCACATTTTCCCCTTTTCTATTCGACAAAACCGCCATCGTCATCATGGCCCATTCTCAATGAGCTGTTGGGTACACCTCCCACCATGGCATTTTTTTTTTTAATGACATTTCTAAACAGCCTCAGAATTTTTCTCAACACACATCTCCAGCACTTAATTTTAAAAACATTGGAATGATGATCAGTACTCTTCATCTGTAAAGAATAAATGCTACCCAAATTAGATAATTTTATAATTAATATTTTATTATAGAAGCCAAAATTTTAAAAAATATTAACATAAAAGTGATCAGAAGTAGAATTACCAAGTGGGTGGTCACTGGAAAGCAGCTATTTGTAATCTAACTTAGCAAAATATTTTTGTCTTAACTGACATGTAATCAGTCTTCAGGTAAACACTTTATGACAAGTTTTTATGTTTTCTTTTCTTCTTTTGAGGCAGGGTCTCACTCTGTTGCCCAGGCTGGAGTGCAGTGGCACAGTCACAGCTCACGGCAGCATGGAACTCCCAGGCTCAAGTGATCGTCTCACTTTGGACTTCAGGCATGAGCCACTGTTCTCCGCTCAAGTATTCAGGGAAAAAAAAAATGTAAAAATGTTAAAAACAAAATTAAAATAAAAGAAATCTGAAATTCCCAAATAGAAATTGCAGGTATAACATGCCTATTAGTATCATTAGAGATTAAAATAAATAATACACTGTCTCTTAATTGGTTTCAAAAATAAGCAAAATGTTTTGAAATACGAAAAAAGTGATGCTATGTTACAAACGAAAATGTTACAATGTAGTCAATTGAATGTGGGTATCCCCCTCCAAAACTCACGTGTTGAAATTTTAACTCCCATGGTGACGGTACTAGGAGGCAGGGCTTTTGGGAGATAAGTTAAGAGGGTGAAGCCCTCACGAATGGGACTAGTGTCCTTATAAAATAGGCCCTAAGGGCTGGGCGTGGTGGCTCACACCTGTAAACACAGCACTTTGGGAGGCCTAGGCAGGCAGATTACCTGAGGTCACTAATTCGTGACCAGCCTAGCCAATGTGGTCAAACCCCGTTTCTACTAAAAGTACAAAAATTAGCTGGGCATGGTGGTGTGCACCTGTAAAACCAGCTACTTGGGTGGCTGAGGTGGGAGAATCTCTTGAACCTGGGAGGTGGAAGTTGCAGTGAGCCGAGATTGTGCCACCGCACTCCAGGCTGGACAACAGAATGAGACTCCATCTCAAATAAATAAATAAATAAATAGACCCTAAGAAGCTTTCTTGCCTCTTCGCCATGTGAGGACACAATGAGAAAAAGGCCTTCTCTAAACCAGGAAGCCAACCCTCATCAGTCAATGAATCCGGTGGTCGCCTTGATCTTGGGCTTCTCATCCTCTCTGGAACTGTGAAAAAACAAATGTTTGTTGTTTAAGCTATAGTCAGTGTGTATGTATATACATATGCATAGTTTGGGACATTGAAACCTTGAATACATTTATACCCTGCTTTCATGGTTAGACTGTGACTTCAGAAGGGTCCGACAAAAAGATTCTATAATTTTCAAAGAAACAAAGATTGACAGGAACAGAATCATGTTCTCCTAAATCATTATAGAAAGGTCATGAGTAAATGTCTTATTCCCTTTTACAGCCTAATTATGAATGCCGTCAAAAGACCTGTAAAAGTCCTGGGAAAATATCCCAATGCAAGTGTGGCAGTCTCCTTTTTCCCATGACTGAGAAATTGAAAGAAAATTTTGCACAGTTTGTGTTCTTAATTACTCTGGTTATTTTTGTTTGTTTGTTTGTTTTTCTTTTTTTGATAAACACACGTTCTTCTGTCTTATATTGATGGTGATGATTTGCTTTGATGCCTTTTGCATACTGTTTCGTTTTCTATAATGAGGTATTTATGTGTTAACCTACACGTATTATCATGGCACTTAAGGAAAAGCTAATGATAGAACTGAAAAAGAAACAGAAACATTGAAAGAGGTAAGAATCTCTTGTTTGTGTTGTATTGGGAGTTTTTCCCCATTTGAGAATGTATGTATTTTGAATAGCAAGAGTATCTTCTACCTGGTAGAATCTAACTGAAGGTAAGCATTATTCCACATGGTTAAACTTGCCTTCTGAGGAAAAAATGTAAAGCATCTGTAAAGAATAGAAACAGAAATACTTGCCAAAGACTATTCAAAAATAAACAATGAGCATTCACTAACAAGGAACAGAATTTATCTTCTGTGCAAAACTCTGAAATTTGGCCTCTTAAGAATTAATGGATGTCAGCAGCTATTATATGAAGATAAATGCATAATTACCAGGATTTCAATGAGTCTTTATCACAGCAGCCTGAACAAATTATGAATCATGGGTTAAAGATAAACTAGTTGACAGAGGACAATGCACATGTGTGTTTTCGCCTCGTTATTGAATGATTAATTACAAAAAGGCAAAAATCAAATCCCTATACACAGAAAAGAAAGTCACCATACCTCACTGCAAATGGGCTTGAACTAAAATATGTAAAGTAGAAATTGGCATAATCCTAAAACAAAAGGAAAAGAACTAAATTAAAAGGAAAATAATTGGCTTTACTTAAAATATTTAGATAAAAAAATATTTAAATATGCAAAGCAAACTTCTAGTGCCAAATGGTCAAGTGGTTTGGTAGTTAAATGCAGGCATCCTAGACCCTAGGCCAAGGTTCTATGCCTTGTACCAGGTTATAATCCTACCACTTCCAATTACTAGAAAGGGAATGAATAAGTCACTTCACCTCCTTTTTTCTCATTTTCTTCTGTAAAATGTAAATTATATAAATAGAACCCATGGTGTTGTTGTCATGTCCACATGCCACATCAAGTTCACCTGTTCATGTTATGTCGTGCACTAATATGTAATGTGCTTAGAACTTCCTGGCTTGTGGTAAGTACACATTATTTGTTGATTATTTAATGTTTATTTGATATTTATTTTTTCTGAATAACATAATTGTGCACTTTGCATAAGATAAGCCAAGATTCTTTAATGAGAATAAGCAGATTCATTGCCAGTATTTACTATTGTAAGTTCAATATGTTTAACTCTATTGGGTCATGCTTGAATATGAAGCAAATGAAAAAAATGATCTGTAATACAATACGAATTACATCACATGGCTACATGCTCTTATTTTTAAAATTACAAAATTAGCAAAAGTATCCCAAACATCTCCCATTAAGTCCTCACCACTAGCACTGGGAGCAAATTTCAATATGAGGCTTTGGAGGACAAACCTCCAAACTACAGCAATGTAAGGCACTGAATTATTAATGTATACCACACACATATTCTTGCTAGCCTTCTGAGAATCATTTCTGAATCTCAGTATTAAATGAAAAGAAAATCACCAATGTGAAATAGAACAGGCAATGCAGGATCAATTTAGTACAGTATTAGGTTGAAAATATAAAAAAAAGAAATATTTTTGTAAGGAACTTCAAATAGAAACCTGCTAATTATGAAAGTGGAAAGACAGCAGAGAGATTTCTTGGCCTTATCACTAAATGTGCATTGAAATTTCTTGTAACTATGTTTACTGTGCATTCTATTACAAGTTCCCTTGCTTTTATTACCAGTTCCTAGTAAGAAAGGATCCCATTTTGTTTATATTTTTATTTCACCTAGTCGCTTTCTATAATGTCCAGAATACGTTCTATTCACAATGAGTATTTGCCAAACCTAGAAAATACAGTCGACCCTTGAACAACATGCATTTGAATTGTTCAGGTCCCCTTACAGGAGGATATTCTTTCGCCTCTGCTACTCCTGAGACAACATAACCAATCTCTCTTTTTCCTCCTTAGCCTACTCCAGAAGATGACAAGGATGAAGACCTTTATGATGATCTACTTCCACTTATTACATAGTAAATATATTTTACTGAATAGTAAATATATTTTATCTTCCTTATGGTTTTCTCAATAACATTTTCTTTTTTAGCTTACATTTTTTTTTACTTTTTATTATTTTTTTAATTTTTATTTTTTTATTTTATTTTTCTATAAGTTATTGGGGTACAGACAGTATTTGGTTACATGAGTAAGTTCATTAGTGGTGATTTGTGAGATTTTGGTGCACGCAACACTGGAGCAGTATACACTGAGCCATATTTGTAGTCTTTTATCCCTTGCCCCCTACCACTCTTTCCCCCAAGACCCCAAAATCCATTGTATCATTCTTATGCCTTTGAGTCCTCATAGCTTAGCTTCCACATATCACTGAGAACGTACGATGTTTGGTTTTCTGTTCCTGATTTACTTCACTTAGAATAATAGTCTTCAATCTCACCCAGGTCACTGCAAAATGCTGTTAATTCATTCCTTTTAATGGCTGAGTAGTATTCCATTATATATATATATATCATATATATATCATCTATCTATCTATCTATATCTATCTATCTATCTATCTATGTCTATCTATCTATCTATATATCAAAATGCTGTTAATTCATTCCTTTTAATGGCTGAGTAGTATTCCATCATATATATACCATATATATCATATATAGGTATATATATCATATATATATATCATCTATCTATCTATCTATCCATATATCTATCTATATATCATCTATCTATCTATCTATCTATCTACACACACACACACACACACCACGGTTTCTTTATCCACTCTTTGATTGATGGGCATTCAGATTGGTTCCACAATTTTGCAATTGTGAATTGTGCTGCTATAAACAAGCACGTGCAAGTTTCTTTTTCGAATAATGACTTATTTTCCCCTGGGTAAATACCCAGTAGTGAGGTTGCTGGATCAAATGATAGTTCTACTTTTAGTTCTTTAAGGAATCTCCACACTGTCTTCCATAGCAGCTGTACTAGTTTACATTCCCACCAGCAGTGTAGAAGTGTGCCCTGACTGCTGCATCTACATCAACATCTACTTTTTGTTTATTGTTTGATGATGGCCATTCTTGCAGGACTAAGATGGTATCACATTGTGGTTTTGATTTGCATTTCCCTGATCATTAGTGATGTTAAGCATTTTTTCATATGTTTGTTGGCCATTTGTATGTCTTCTTTTGAGTATTGTCTATTCATTTCCTTAGCCCACTTTTGGATGGGATTGTTTTTTTCTTACTGATTTGTTTGTGGTCGTTGTAGATTCTGCATATTAGTCCTTTGTCAGATGCGTAGATTGTGAAGATTTTCTCCCACTCTGTGGGTTTTCTGTTTACTCTACTGACTGTTCCTTTTGCCATGCAAAACTCTTTAGTTTAGTTAGGTCCCAGCTATTTATCTTTGTTTTTATTGCATTTGCTTTTGGGTTCTTGGTCATGAAATCCTTCCCTCAGCAAATGTCTAGAAGGGTTTTTCCAATGTTATCTTCTAGAATTTTTATAGTTTTAGGTCTCAGATTTAAGTCCTTAATCCATCTTGAGTTGATTTTTGTATAAGGTGAGAGATGAGGATCCAGTTTCATTCTCCTACATATGGCTAGCCAATTATCCCAGCACCATTTGTTGAAAAGGATGTCCTTTTCCTATTTTACGTTTTTGTTTGCTTTGTCGAAGATCAGTTGGCTATAAGCATTTGGGTTTATTTCTGGGTTCTCTATTCTGTTCCACTGATCTATGTGCCAGTACCATGCCGTTGTGGTGACTATGGCCTTATAGTATAGTTTGAAATCAGGTAGTGTGATGCCTCCAGATTTGTTCTTTTTGCTTAGTCTTGCTTCAGCTATGCGGGCTCTTTTTTGGTTCCATATGAATTTTAGAATTGTTTTTTGTAACTCTGTGAAGAATGATGGTGGCATTTTGATGGGGATTTCATTGAATTTGTAGATGTCTCTTGGCAATATGTCCATTTTCACAATATTGATTCTACCCATCCATGAGCATGGGATGTGTGTTCTTTCTGTAGTGTTTTGTAATTTTCCTCATAGACGTCTTTCAACTCCTTTGTTAGGTATATTCCTAAGTTTTTTTTGGTTTTTTTTGTTTGTTTGCTGTCTTTTTTTTTTTTTTTTTTTTTTGCAGCTATTGTAAAAGGAGCTGAGCTCTTGATTTGATTCTCTGCTTGGTCGCTGTTTGTGTATAGAGGAGCTCCTGATATGTGTACATTAATCTTGTATCTGGAAACTTTGCTGAATTCTTTTATCAGTTCCAGGAGCTTTCTGGAGGAGTCCTTAGGGTTTTCAAGGTAAATGATCATATCGTCAACAAACAGGGACAATTTGGCTTCCTTTCTACAGATTTGGATAGCTTTTATTTGTTCTCTTGTCTGATTGCTCTAGCTAGGACTTCCAGTACTACGTTGAAGAGGAATGGTGACAGTGGGCATCCTTGTCTTGTTCCAGTTCCCAGAGTGAGTGCTTTCAACTTTTCCCCATTCAGTATTATGTTGGCTGTGGGTTTGTCTTAGACGGCTTTTATTACAGTAAGGTATGTTCCTTGTATGCCAATTTTGCTAAGGGTTTTAATCATAAAGGGATGCTGGATTTTGTGGAGAGGGATGGGTGGTGGGTGGGGCCCTAGAACTCCCAAGATTATATGCCCTTTGTCTTCCACTGCCAGGGTGGATAGGGAAGGACCATAGGTGGGGGAGGGGCTAGGTGTGTCTCAGCTCAGAGTCTCCTTGGGTAGATCTTGCTGTGGCTGCTGTGGGGGATGGGGGTGAGATTCCTAGGTCACTGGAGTTCTGTCCTAGAAGGATTATGGCTGCCTCTGTTGAGTCACGCAGGTTGTCAGGGAAGTTGGGGAAAACCAGCAGTCACAGGCCTCACCCAGCTCCCACACAAACCAAAAGGATGGCCTCACTCCCACTGTGCCCCGCGCAACAGCCCCGAGTCTGTTTCCAGGCGGAGAGCTAGATGGGCTTGAAAACGTGCCCAAGGCTTTCCACCTCTCAGCTGCCAAAGAGAAGGGCTTTAGTTCTTCCCCAGCCTGTGAAGTCTGCAAGCCGGATTCGTGCCCAACCCAAGCTGTGGCCAGGAGGCTTCTCTCCCTTTTAAATTGCTACAAAGTTCAGCTAGAGAATTCCTTCTCCCTCTGGAGTTTTACCCCTTGCTCCTCTGGCGACCCTCACGATGAATCTCTGTGGTGCCAGGCAGGAATGGGCTCTTGGGGACCCAGCGAGCTCCCAGGGCCTTTCTGCTGCTTCCTCGACCGCTGTATTTTGCTCATCTTGGCTCTCTAACTGGACTCAGCTCCGGGTAAACTCGGAAACTTCTCCCGCAAACAGACCTTCAGGTTCTCCAGTGGGGTGTGTGTTCAGGAGGGGAGGATCTCTCTTTCCCAATTCCGCAGTTGGGGCCCTCACAGTATTTGGGGTGTCTCCCAGGTCCTGCAGGAGCTGTCCTTTCCCTTCAGAGGATCTGTGGGTCCTCTCAGGATTGCTGGTTTATTTTTGCAATTGATCTGGACCTAAAATTCACAATGCAAGCATTCGCATGCTGCTCTGTCCAGAGCTGCAATCTAGTCCTGCCTCCCATCCACCATGATCTCTAGCTTACTGTAAGATTACAGTCTATAATACATATAACATACAAAATATGTGTTAATTGACTGTTTACAGTACCAGTAAGGCTTCTAGTCAATAGCAGGCTATCAGTAGTTAAGTTTAGTTGGAATCAATAGTTATACATGGATTTTCAACTTTGCAGGGGTCTGCAACCCAACCTCTGCATTGTTCAAGGGTCAACTGTACTTTTATATTAACAACTGTTGCTTCTTCCATTTTCTTCAAACCCTTGAACCCAGTACAACCTTAGAACTGTTTGTACATTGTCAGTCTGCGCAAACTAACACAGAATTTTTTTTCTATGGACTTTTCCTTGGCATTGCCAGGTTTCGATATAAAGATGTTTATAACATCAACTAAGGTTAATATCATAGCCATAAAAAAAAAGTACAGTTCAATACATGCAATTCTATGACAGGTTAACCTGATATGGTTCCAATATACTGCTTTCTTAGGATTTGATTAAATATGGACTACCATGAGAACACAAGGGACTGAATCTCTTTTAGGCAATTCAAAAAAAGTATTCCAGTAAACTAAGGATAATTTATCAAAAGGTTACACTTTTCTGGCAAGGCCTTATTGTATCAACATTTGTATGTGAAGTGCAGGAGTTACATTGTATACATTCCAGGAACTGCAGTTGATATCTTCCTAAAAACATTGAATAGGCCATTCAGCACAACTTAATATAAGGGCATCTCACTTCAGCCTGTACGTTTTCCTTAAGAAACTATTCCAAATTTGCTCTAACACAGAAGTTAGTGCATTCATATGGCCCAAGGATTGTGTTCATATACTTCTGTTCATTCATGAGTTAATTAATTTGTTAAATTATTCAATTATGTAACATATATTTATATGAATATGAATTTTCATACAAATGTTATTATTTTGTGATTGCCACTATGTGCAATAGTCTATAATTTTACCTCAACGAGAATTTAAAGCAGCTTTTACCAACTTTCTACCATGAGTATTTTAAAAATCAGAAATATTACACATAAAATATCTAAAGACAAGCAAGATAATACTCCATCAATGAGACTTCTAGATAAATAAATTGACACTTCAAATATGGAGAAATCATTTAGAGCTATGGAAACATTTTTCAGAGATAATTATTTTAATTTGAGAATGGTTTGCCCAAATTAGTCTTCCTGAAATCAATTTTGAAACAATTTCTGTTAGCATTGTGGACATTAGGAAATTTCTTCTCTTTAGAGAACTAATTATTCTAAGTGATCAGATAGTCGCATAAGTGCTAAATTACTTAATTCGATAATTTTTCATTTCTTTTATCTTTCATTTGTAACTCTTAGAAAAAAACAAAGAATTGACTTGCATAATTATAAATCAACAATTGCTAATCAATAGAGAATAAGAAAGTAAACTGTGAATGCCATGAATATTTCCTATAAATTTGACTCACTTTGCTATTTAATTTTCCATTTTCACCTTTAATAATAATGTGAGATTTTTTATTATCACATGGATGTTTCATGTAATTACATAATTAGATGCACTTATACTAATTATGTATCATAATTAGAACAGGTAATTACTATGTTAGCATTTATAATTACATAGTTGAACACTTAATGCATGCAAATGTACTTTTCACTCAGAGTAATGTATGCTACACAATAAGTACTTTTTCTTAACCTTTTATCAAATCAAACTCTGATAAATTAATAAAAGAGTAAAAATAAATTTAGATTTTTATAAACCTGATTTGAAATCAAATTTAGAAACGACTGAATTGTTTTCTCAATTAATAAAAAGTATTAAGTGGAATTTAAATTAGAATCCCCAATCTATGAAGACATATTTAATATGCAGAATGTGAAACTTAAAAGTTTTAAGTTATTTCTCAGTAGTTTTGGGATTTGATCTTTTTGATATAAAAATAAAAGCTTTTGTTTATCTGTGTTCTCAGTCAATACAGAACATATTGAAATACTCAAATCCAGACTTGGGATTTTTGTGTGTGTGTATGAAAATAAGTTTAATGAATGAATAATCATTAGAAAATTTTATTATAAAAAGGCAACTACATATATTTTTTGATAAATGTATGTCCAAATCTTATATAAATCAATTAACCTAGTTGATAAAGACCTAATTGTTCCTTTTTGTTTCTTGGTAAGCTTCTCAAACTTGTTCCTATTCCAGAATAAACAGCCTGTAGAGGTAGGACTTAAGAAAGTGTATCATATGCCCATATTTCCACCTACTGGACATGCAATTTTTCTGATGTTTCTGAAATCTGGATTCGGTTCAAATATTCCACAAAAATTTTACATTAGTGATTGCAAATGACTTCTTACTTGATACATTTAGTAAATTTTTATTCCTCTTATTAGATAATCTTTCTAGTATTTTTTGTTTGTTTCTTTCTTCAAAGTATTTTTAAAGACTCCTGACTTCTTCTTCTATAGGATCTTTCCTCTTGGATACAAAAATTATAGATAATGTAACAGGCAGTATGAATGGACGCTGAAGACTAAAAATGATGTAATAAAAGAATTATTATACCTATTTAATAGCCCTGCATATAGTTGTGCTTTTAATCCTTAGTTTATCTAAGTCTGTAAATGTATAATTTATGTAAAATGTGCAAAATGTAGATAAAAATAATACCTATGAATAAGATTATTGCCTGCATTTTTTACTAAAATATTTCTTAATTGTCAGAGGTTTCAATACATAGAATATATGGAAATACAATATCTAACAGGTATGAAACACATACCCGACATTTTTTGAGAAGTAAATTAATTCCTTTAATTCTTATACCAGTCCCATGAGGGGCAGATTTCATTGTTATTTCCATTTTAAAGAAGGCAAAACTTAAAACAGTGTTTTTTGTTTGTTTGTTTCTTTGTTTGTTTTTTAGTACTAACAGATTAATGACACAATGTCTTAGCAATGCAAAATCTAATTGTAAATGATACATGTGAACAGAAAAAAAATACTCATTTTTATGAAATGACTGTTTAAAAGGATTTTCATTTCTTATCATTTTCTTATCTTTCTTATGTTCAATGGAGTAGCACTTTTAATTTTCTTGTAAATTTTTTCATTGCATTCACAACTTGGCTCACTTTTTGGAGCAAGCAGTCTAGCTTGTGACCTAGGTTTGAGCCTGTGTTGGCTTTTAACATGACTTCCTCATTTTAAGCTTAATCATTTCTAGCACTTGATTTAAAGTGAGAACTTTGGAAGGCTGAGGTGGGAGGATTACTTGAGCCCAAAAGTTTGAAACCAGTTTGGGCTACACAGTGAGACCCTATATCTGCAAAAAATTTAAAAAAAAAAAAAAGCCAGGTGTGGTGCAATGCTCCTGTGGTCCCAGCTACCTGGGAGGCTGAGGTGGGAGGATAACTTGAGCCCAGGAGGTTGGGGCTGAGTGAGCCATGTTTATCACACCACTGCACTCCAGTCTGGGTGAGAGAGCAAGAGCCTGACTCAAAATAAACAAATATATAAAGTAAGTAAGAGATGTGTGATGCTTCCTTTGTGTTCAACACTTACAGGCCATCGTAGGGCTATTAATTGGCCTACTTTTAATATTGCTGTGTCTCAGAGAATAAGGAGACTCGAGGAAAGGGAGAGACAGGAATGGCCAGACAGTGGCCAGTGGAGTAGTCAGAACACACACGATACTCATCAATTAGGTTTACTGTTTACTATGGGCACAGTTTATGGCACCCCAGAAGAATCCAATAGTAACATCAAAGATCACTGATTACAGATCACAATAACAAATATAATAAAAAAGAAAAAGTTTGAAATAATGCAAGAATTATATGAAAATGTGTCATAGGGACATGAAGTGAGCACATGCTATAGGAAATATGGCACTGATACATGTGTTCCACATAGTTTCCACAAACTCTTAACTTGTAAAAAACACAGTACCTGTGACGTGCAACAAAGTGAAGAGCAATAAAACAAGGTACGCCTGCAGTAATAGTAGTCACTAGTAAACGAAAGGACAATCATAGTAAACTTATGTCTGATACACTTAATTCAGCCCAATCCAAAACTACAAGTCTATGAAAATTATGATTTCCAAGAAGGAACTTGCTATATTCTTTGTGAACTAAGACCTGGGGAGGACAATAAAATAGTAGAAACATCAATCTTCCTTCATATAGCCATGAGGGAATTAAACATACACATCTCTTAACCAACACTTTCTTTCTATTTGGTAGTAGAGCTACTCAGATGATGCTTTTATTTCCACTTTCTTAAAACTTCTACTGTCCAGGTAACCAATGACTTTATCATGACAAATTCAATGATAACCACTCTATTCTCATGTCAACACCATGTCACACAGGTAGTCCCATGCACACTCTTGGAAAACTTTCTTTACTTAGCTCAAAAGACACCAACCATACTATCTTGGTTATAGCCACTTTACTTTGGTCATTCTTTCAAAATTTTCTTGGATTTTTTTCATCCTGTTTCCTAGAAGTTAATGTTGGAGTCCTGGTGCTCAACAATTACCAAACAAAATTCTTATTATGTGCACACAGAAAAAATGTAAAAACTAATAATTTATCTGTTCTTACAGTAAGTCGCCACAAATTTCAAAGTAATAAAATCACATGGAGAATTTTTATATTCACAGTGAATTTACATTAAAATTGATGTAACAAAAAAGATTAATAGATAAACAACATAGGTTTCTTCAAGCTTATGGAGATATATTTGTCAGCCAAAAATTGTATATATTTAAGGTATACAACTTCATTATTTGATATATGCATATATTATAAAATATTCACCACAATAAAGCTAATTAACACATCCATAACCTCATGTAGTTACCAATTTTATGTGTATGGCAAAAACTCTAAGCTCTAATCTCTTAGCTGTCTTCAAGTACCAATATATTATTGTTAACTGTAGTCACATTATTTTATATTAAATCTCCTGAATTTACTTATTTTGTATAACTGAAACTTTGTAAATCTTCATCAAAATTTCCACACACCCTCCTTGCCCAGCTTCTGGTAATCCCAATTCTATTCTTTGTGTCTACGAGTTTGACATTTTTAGATTCCACATGTAAGTGGAATAATGCAGTATTTGTCTTTCTGTGCCTTGCTTACTTCCCTGAGCATAATGTCTTATAGGTTTATCCACTTTAGCTTTAACTAAAAAATTCATCTTTAAAAAATGTCTGAATACTATCACATTGTATATATATATATATATATACCACATTTTATTTATCCATTCATCTGTTAATGGACACTTCAGTTGATTCCGCATCTTGGCTAATAATGTGAAAAATGCTGCAATGAACAAGGGAGTGCAGATATCTCTTCAACATACTGATTCCATTTCCTATGAATATATTCCACTAGTAGGATTACTAGATCACAAGGTAGTTTTCTTTTTAACGCTTTGAGGAACCTCAATAGTGTTTTTCATAATGGCTGTACCAGTTTGCATTTACACTATAAATGAATGAATGTTTCTTTCTCTCTCCATTCTCACCAACACTTATTATCTCTTGTCTTTTTAGTAATAGCCATGTTAACAAATGCAAACTGATGTCTCATTGTGGTGTTGATTCACATTTCCTGGATTATTAATGAAAACAAGCACATTTTCATGTATCTGTTGGACATTGTTAGTCTTCTTTTTAAAATGTCTATTCAGATCCTTTGCCAATTTTTAAATCAATTGGTGGGTTTTTTCTTTACCAATTTCTTTATAAATAAATCATAGATTATGGTTCATGTTAAAATTTAAAAAATATGCATTTGACAACATTTGAACAAAATTAAAATGTAAATATCATCATGCTGAAGTTTTTATTAAAAAATTGCAAGAATAATAATGACTAAAGAAAACTTATTTACAAATATGTTATACTAGAATGTCTCCAATATACCTCCAATATAAAAAGGTCAATACCTAATAAAAAATGGTTGAAATAGTAAATAGAAAATTCATGACTATGAAATAATAAAAACAGCCAATGAGAGTATACATGAAATTATATCAAAAGTAATATCTCCTTTGTTTACTTATCAGATTGAAAAAAACTGACAATATTGACTGAACTTTTCCTTGATGACAATAGTGTGATTGTGATATTATTAGCTGTATTTGGAATAGTAATTTATCAATGTATCTTAAAATCTAAATGCTGCATTTTCTTTGAACTATCTGTTCTAGGGATTTATTCTTATTATATAAATAAGAAATGCAAATGCAAAAAAAATCAATCAATCTTTCATGGTGAGACATACTATATGAACTAAAATTTCATAAATACAGAACTAAATAATTTTAGAATAAATACCTGTACTTTGCATTTATTAGATAGATATTAAAAACATCTGACAACATCAAAGAAAAATCATAACTGTATGACCTGAAAAAGGTTTCTGAAACTAAGATAGGTGTCTTTATGTATAAAATGAAGAAAATCATTACTAACATACATGATCCAAATACAGATTAGGTGATAGAATAATAGCTACTAACATTTACCATCTATTGTATGTTGCTTACATCTTTGTTTACTGTATCTGGCACATAGTATGTGCTCACTACATGGTAACGCTTCATATAAAAGAGGCAAATATTTATTGAAAAGAAAGTTGTCATGTAATATTGTAATAGGCCACAAAATATTTATAAATTTTTTCTATTGCATATATATCATCATCATATATATAACATATATAACATACACATAACATATATAATATACATATATATAACATATATAACAGTTTATAGATATATAACATAATTTCTGAATTTCCCAAAATGCTATCAATGTTTATGTCTGGATAATGGGTCTTATGATTACTTTTACTGTACTGTGTGTATGTTTAAGTGTTTGATAATTTTAAGATGAGTAGGTTGTTTTAAAACTGAAAGAAAACCAGTAATAAAGTAATTTTAATTTTGAAAAACTAGTAACATTGCATCAACAACTTTATTTTTGAGTAAATTAGGAGTTTAGGAAATTCTGTATGCTAAACTTACACAACTTATTTGGAAAATATGGATGGAAAGTAGAGATAATGATGACATAATTATATAAAAGTTTTAATAAAATGTATTTTCTATCCAAGGGTACTGTGTGTCTTGAAAAATCATGATCTGAGAATTCTTAGATTAAAACTAGGTCTAACAATAAAAGTTAAATACTAATCAAAATTTCCAATTAATATTTTTATTGTGCTATATCAAATTAAGTGTTCAAAGGCATGACTTGTCTAACATGCTTCCCTCTAAGGACTTTTAACCTTTATTATCTTTTCTTCCTTTGATTTTGCCATGATTCAAATAAATCCTCTTTATGATTTTCCAGCTATGAATATGTATTTCCTAGCCTCCTCCTTTCACAAGGGCACGTTCCATTCTATTTATCATTCTAAGAGGATCTGGACGTTTTTTTCTTCCTAGCTCAAGCCCCTGTTTTGTTTTGTGGGGTTTCTTTTTTCTTATATGACACCATCTGCCTAATAGGCTTTACCTTTTTAGATCACCATTGTAGATTCTTCTGTACATCCCTAGAGACCATGGTCCATGTTTTCTCATCTTTAATGAAAATCCTTCTTATTTGAAGCAGATTTTAGCAACGCAATTTTCTGCATGCACTTAAACATTTACATACAAAACAGCCTGATAATTTTCTATTCTTCTGGCATTAACATATTTTGAATGGGCAGGAATCTCCTTTCCCCACCCAGTTCACACTTGTAGATCGCTATAGGACTAAAAGGAGATTAGTGTGTATTAGCATAAACTCTGAGAAAACGAGATGTTGAGGCATGTGTGGATATTAATCAGATAAAAAGTCCTTAATCTCATGATTGTATCAATAATTATCTTTAAAAGTGTATTATGTGTTCAAGAAAATAATGCTTTAATGATACACAACAACTTAATTGGAGTCATGACACTGTGATTTTAAATAGAATTGGAAAGAAACTGCCTTTTAGCACTGAAGTCAAATTTAATGGTAATTGACAATGGCATATTCTTACAACACGTGAAGGAAGCAGGACATTTTGCATCCATTAATGATCCTTTATTGCATTTAGGATTGAGTCCCCAAATTCTGCAATAACTAGCAAATCTTTCTTACTCCCCAGTTCCATTTAGCAGAAAATCGAATACATGGGAATTGACTTTATGTAACTTTCCAGCCTTTTGTACCATAAGAGAGACTAACATTTGGAGATCTGATAGAGAAATGATTAAAGTAGGAGGAAAACTTCATGTGTAACCCGTTAAGCTGGTGTTTTGATCAAAAGCAGTATTAAAAGCAGTATACTATTTTGATAAAAACATTCTATCCAGAGATAGGAATTTTAATTCTAGTTCTGGCAGTAATGGTGACTTTAGTTTGTCAGAATCTTGATATCTTCTTTTGTTAAATGAGGGCAGTATACAGGATAATTTTGAAGGTCTCATAGAGCTGTTTTAAAAATCAATCTTTCTATGTTATATAAAATTGTATTATACTCTGTACTATTTTAAAAGTGTTGGAAATAAGAGGAGATCGATTTTAAAATCTATGACTTTATTAAATTTACTTTTAAAATTATTGCGCCTCTCTTTGGTGATTCTAACAACCAATTTTTTTTCACATTTTCCATGTAATATCTGAGAAGGTGAAGCTATACTTCATCAGGAAAAATACAACAATGGAGGCCCTCTACCATAGTAAAAATGGTGACTTCACACAGTCTCACTAAACGGCTTAGAAATTTTAAATAATACTACATGTGATATTCTCTATGTACATAATTTTATTTCTGTTTTACCCAGTCTTGGCTATTAAGAGTGAAAATGTTCGTTAATAGTATTCAAAGAAAAATTTCAGTTTAAAAATGTGTCAGTTCTGGTCCTCTTGGAAGCAGATGCCAAGACAAAAGTAGAATTGCCAAAAATTCATTGAGTGAAATGTCTGTAAATAATAAAGAGGACAAGGAGCAGAGGAAGGCAGGGAGAGCTTTGAGACCCCTATCCATTGCTGACACTTATGATACAATTGAGGTCTGGCAGGACATGAGGTAGGAGGAACCTCATATTCCAATGCAGCTATGAGAAAGGTTCACTCAAGCCATAGCAAACTCCATGGCAAATATTTCCTCTTAGAAGTGCCCTGCATTGGGCAGAAATGGCTCAGGTCTAACGTCCCTCCTCCGCTCACTCCTTGACTTAGAGCAGTCAGAAGAAAGCCTAACCCTGGCATGGTTAGATACTTCAGTGAAACCCGAAGACACAGCTGGTGGAGGCTGTCAGCCGACTATACCTACTGCAGCAGATCTGACACCTTGACACCTCCATGGCTGTCACAATTAGTGTTATTTTCATCTTTACAATTTTATGTGTTCTACTAATTGGATATAACACATATTAAAGAGTTGACTTTCAGGAAAAATAATGAAAGTACTTGAAACAACATTTTTTCCTTGTTAAATTCAAAGTAGATGATTCCTTGAGAAAGATTGTACCCCGGGCAGTTTCCTATTTAGTAGATATATTCCTACTAATATTTGATAAGACTCAGTGACCAGATATTCTCTTTATGAGTTAAGAAATTGATTTGAAGATAGAAGCATTTACTGAGTATAAACTATCCCAATTTCTTTTAAATTTTATGTAAATTATTTCATTTAATCCTTACAATAGCTTTGTGACATTTCATCTCAACAAAGGAAAAACTAGAATATTTTGGTAGGAACATCACAGACTAATTGAACTAGCAGCCCATTAATGCACACCTGTGGGCATCTTAAAGAAAACTGTGCTTGATTGTATGTCTTGAATTAACTAAACATTATCTGTCATCAGGATAAAATGACATCAATTCAATCTTACCATAGAAATCAGAAAGAAATACAGTCTTAAAGTCAAGTGCAAACCTTGGGTAGTGCCATATATAAATGTGCACAGAAAGTTAACCTTGAAAGAATTTCTAAAAAAATTACTTTTCATGATGTCTATTGGGTTTCTCATCATTACTGCATAGCAGAAAATGAGTAAATATACGTATTACTGAGAGATGTAAGAAAGCAGATAAGGAACAGATACTGGCAAAAATGTCAGCAACAGCATATGAAGACCCCAAAGTAAGAATATGGAAATTGAAAAGTGAATAAACATATGACATCAATACAAGAGACCAGATGATTGAATAATATTGAAGAACCTAAATAGGAAGAAAATCAAAGGACAGAAATGGAAAACTGAGATCTAATAAATAATTTAAAATATATAAGCAAATGATTCCAAAATAACAAGATGGCCTACCAAATTACAGATTTGAAATACAGTTGATCCTTGAACAACACAGGTCTAAACTGCACGGATCCACTTATCTTATGGGATTCTTGGGGGTGTTGCTTTTCTGGCCAGAAACTTCTGTGGCTGGTGGCGCCTTTGCCCGAGTTTTGCTTGAGTCCACTGTGCCCACTCACCTTGGCAGGCTGCGTTCAGCTCACACTACCAGTTTGGATCCCACGCCTCCGAAGAGACTGTAGCATAGCGGCAAGGGGTGTGTGAGCGAGCAAGTGTGGGGTCCGGAAACTGTGCAGTCAGGCACGCCGGCTGCTGCAGCAAGGTGGGCGGGTCCAGGTGCTGGCACAGGTGTTAGCTCAATGCATAACTGCAGCTGGACCAGGTACACAACTGGCACCAGGGAACTCGGTGGCACCTAGAAGCCTGGACACTCAAGGGTCCGAAAGGGGAGTCATAGCCGTGGCTCGGGGGGCTCCCAGGTATGGGATCCCTGAAGGGCCGCAGCTCTTCTCCCTGAAGGACCGCAGCTATTCTTCTCTCCTTGTCACCCACAACATGGCGAGCAAGGGGTGTGTTTCACCCCTGTTTATATTACAGCTCTTTTAGCCCTGCTGTTTGGTGGGCCCTATGTCCAGGAAGAATGAGGTATAAAGACAAGTGGAGGGTGAGCAAGACAAAGAGGAGCTTTACTGAGTAATAGAACAGCTCAGAGGAGACTTACAGTGGGCAGCTCCTCTCTGAAGCCAGGGTGTCCCCATGAGTGTTCAGCTCTCAGCAGAGAGGGTAGCTCTCTCTGCTAGGCAGGTCATCCTGCCGCGTGTCCAGCTGTCAGCAGAGAGGGTAGTTCCTTTCTGCAGCTGGTTTTCTCATCTCTCCATTGTCTCTCCATTCTCCGCGGAGTCTGGGGTGGGGGTAGTGGGGAGGGTTTATGGGCCTCAGAGGGGAGGAAGTGCATGCTGATTGGTCCGTGGGCAGCCACGGGCGGGCCCAGGGAAAAGAACACAAGTTCCCGCTCTGGCCCACAGGATTGGCAGCCTCGCCCCCAGGCCTCAGGCCCTCCCTGGCTTGAAGGTGAGGCTTCACCAGAGACCAGCCTCCTTCTGCCCAGGAGCCTGTCTGCCTTCTGCCACTATTCATGGCACCCAGGCTGTTCATGCCAAGTGGGGCCTGCAGGCCAGTGCTGAGCTGTCCTCAGCACCCTCTTAGCCTCCGTCTCTTGCTTGTCAGCACCCAAAGTCCAGAGGTGACTCTGGCGGCGGGGATGGGTGAGTCAGCGCTGCCCCCCTAAGCATGTGCACAACCTGGTGGTCTGTGACAGCGCCCAGCATTGGCCGCGACTTTTCTCCAAGATCCAAGAAGGTAGAGACAGCGGGGAGAAGCCAGGCAGCGGAAGCAGGCGTTTCCAACCCGGAAGGTAGGAGGCTTCCCAGGCCCGAGAGTGCAGAGATGCCTGGGTCTGCAGCCGCACCCGGGAAGCTCCCACCCCACCAACTTGGAAGGGTCAGGGCTCCTGCTTGTCCCTGGCTCCCACCAGCTTTGTGGAGCATGTAGCCCCAACTGCATCTCCTCGCAGCCTGGGGCAGGGGCTCCAGGTCCTCGCTGGACCCCTCTCTGCTGCCTCCTCTGTGCCCGACGGCACTGCTTTCCCATCGGTGGGCGGCTAGGCCCGGCCCATCAAGGCAGCCCCCCTAGGGCAGCAGGCTCCGGAGGGCTCCCGGGGGCAGGCTCCAAGGACTGTCCGCCTCCTCCCCACAGTGGTGGTGGGCGGGAGCGATGATATGAGGTCAGTGTCTGGACCAGTGGAGGCTCCGGGCCTTGGAATGGGTCCCTTCCGGCCACACGCAGGTGGAGACAGTGCAGTCAGCTGCCTCGGGACATGGGGCACAGGGGATGCAGGGCACAGGGGTGCTATCGCCGCCACTGCCACTCCCACGGCTGCTCCTGCCACTGCTCTGACCGCTCCGGACAGCCAGCAGCTGCCATCACTTATACAGAGATTTCTTTCAACAAAAGTTAAACTGAATGTGCCTGTGTCTCCTGCCTCCCCTTCTACCTCCTCCTCCTCCTGTTCTGTTTCTGTCATCCCTGAGACAGCAAGACTAACTCTCCTCTTCCTCCTCCTCCTCAGCCCACTCAAGACAAGAATGAAGGCCTTTGTGATTACCCACTTCCATTTAATGAATAGTCATAATTTATGTTTGTATAGCTATTGATATTTAACAATATTATTGTACTTGTTGAATAATATAATTCAGATTATTTTATAATTTTATTAACACTATTCTAATTTATCAGCAGATGCATAATTAGTCTGTGTACCCAAAAAATTAATATTTGACAATGGCTAAGGAGATAGATTTAATCATATTTTTAAAAATGGAAATAAATAACATCGTGTTATTTCTTGAATTCTAATTCAGTTAAAGAGCACATCTTCAAAATGATAGACTCTGTTAAAAGTTATGGGGGAATAATTAAAATAATTTAAGTAAATATACTAATATATGTTAACTTATGATTTCTCATGTGATTTTTGTACTGTTGTTTTTTAGTGGGCATATTTTCAGTCTTCAATTCTAGGTACACTAAAGCTAAAAATGATACCTTTAAAATAATTTTTTTCCTTATGTCTATTAATAGAGTTACTTAAGACAATAGAGTGTACTTACAAAAAGGCTGTGTCTATTTCTGCTTTAATCTGACTGGGCTGGCATTTCTGAAAAAGCCACTTTAACTCTTTGGTTTTCAACTTATTTACCTGCAAAATGAGATAAACTGTGACACTTATATCATAGAGCTGATATAAGAATTAAGTCTCAGAATATACGAAAGTACCTACAGGGTCTTGAATATATTAAGTATTTGGTCAATTCTGGTTATTTTGTTTATGGCTAGGCATGTACTCAATACATACTGGTTGCTGGAGAAGATGTCATTAACTGGAATATCATAGCCTGGAAAGTTATACTTTCTACCACTGATTATTTAAAATCATCCTATGCCTTGTTCTCACTCATAAGTGGGAGTTGAAAAATGAGAACACATGGACACAGGGAGGGGAACATCACACACTGGGGCCTGTCGGGAGGTGGGAGGCTAGAGGAGGGGTAGCATTAGGAGAAATACCTAATGTAGATGACAGGTTGATGGATGAAGCAAACCACCATGGCACGTGTATACCTGTGTAACAAATCTGCACGTTCTGCACCTGTATCCCAGAACTTAAAGTATAATTTAAAAAAAGAAAGAAATTAAACAACAACAACAAAAATCATCCCATGCTTAAAGGCTCTATTCAAATCTGAGAAGATTATGTAGGATATACTTTTGTTAAGCCAATGCTCTCTATAACAGACCAGAAAGAAATTCTTTCCTCCAGTTCTACATGAGCCATTATTGTTCATACACAGGAAAAGTGTCAAAATATTTTTTATATCTCATGGTATAATAAATTTTTATTTTCAGAAAAAATTACTTGCTATAAATTAGATGATTTTGAAAAAATCTTGATGATCACAATTGCTGGGCTTTTAATTATCCATCAGTAGGTCCCTAATCTTTAATTGTCCTTTATTTTCATCATTTAATTTCTAAACTTATTGTAAAAAGGATTGTATTGTTATCTGTTATTGCTTTCAAAGTTCTTTTGTAGCCTGTCAGCGGCATTGTTTTTATGTAAAGTTGCAAAATGGGAATTTAAGCATTAAATTTTCTTCTCCCAATGCCACATTGAAAAGTTATAGATTGAGTAATAATTAAAATATGAGGATTTTTATCTCATGTATTATTTTTATTCCAGATCTTTGCTGAGTTACATGAATCTAATTTTTGGTGCTTATTTTTAGTGGCTGAACAGAATAAGATTTACTTATCATGGAAACTAATTCACTTACCTCAAAGTGATTTTCAGAGATCTAGTACCTTGTAATCTTTCTCCGCAATAGTGCTTAGCTATATTCTTGAAAAAGAAATAAAAAAGAAAAAAGAAAACAAGGTCTATTGTTCATTTGAAGGAAATTTTGTTCGAGTTTATTTATATGGTAATTTAATGCCATGAGATGTATTTCCAACTTCTTTTATAAAAATAGTAAAAAAAAATCCTTTGAATATCATAAAAGCAATACAGAAGGATATAATCTGAAAAGACCCTTTCCTCCAGCCTCTTCCAAATATTTAACTTCATATAAGATAACATTGTGGAATTTAAAATCTATAAGTCACAAATGTATTTATCTAAGCTTTCATGAAAAGTAAGTTGGGACCAGAAAACATACATTTCAATATCATGAAATCGGAGAGAATAAGAGGATTTGAGTTGTTCGAAAAGTCCCTTTGAGAACACAATGGGTTGGACAACCTAGTATTGTACAACTTCTTGTAAAGCAAAAAAGAATGAAACAGAATATTTATATATAAACAGATACCTTAAATAAACTGAAACTATAGACATAAACTAGATTTATTCAAGGGTCTTTCATGCCACATTTATACTTAACTTATTTTGTCATTATCATGATTATCATGATGAAATCTTGATTAATGTTTTCAAGGAAACTTTATTATGAGCTTCTACATTAACTGATAGATTTATTCTAAAGTAATCCTCAGTCTTGATACAATGATGATTATAGTTTCATTGACTAAGCTTGAACTTAAGAATTAATTTCCTCACCAATCTAACAATGTTTAACTCAATAACTAAGCTTTCACAGATCTTGATATAAATAATATAGTTATGGGCAGTTATATTTACCTAGAATTACAAAAAATCTATATTTACTTTCTTTTATCAATTTTAGTAAAAGTAATTTTGAATGTGGAAAAATAATTTAGTGCATAAAACATAGTGTTTGGTTTTATTCCTTACTATTAATAATTTATTGTGTATTCATCTAGAAATATATTCTTCCTATCTATATAAGAAGAGATAGATACACTTTTTTTGTATAAAGACAATTTATCTTCTAACTTACTTTATATGCATCAACGTTTTCAGATACCAAACTATCACTAAAGGCTGAACTGTCAGACTCGCACAATTTATAGATTTTTACCCAATGTGACCTTTACTAATAATTAGTAGAGAATACAAGAAAGAAGTAACGTTACCAGTATAGCATCTGTATCTAGGAAGACCCAAACCATGAGGCTCTGCATCCTTTATGTTTCCTTTGCACATGGGGAGACATTTTGGTTCCAGAATGACAATCAAGTTCTGTCTGCAGGACGAGTGTAACGGAGTGGCTTATTTCAGGATATAGCATGTATATCCCACTAAAAGATCTCACTGATAAAAACTGAAAGTATTTTAACAGTCTTGAGACTATTTCCAATTGGAAAATCCTGTCAGTACACATAGGAGGAAAGCAGGGGAGGTCAAAACTGCCTGAGGCATTCCCAGGAAGGAAGAACCTCACAGAAATATTCAGTCTTTCCCGTCTGTCTTCACACAGCAGTATCCCAAAATCTTCCTTGACTTTTGTAAATGCATGATTGTCTACTGCTAAATAAACGTTCCATTTATTTTTATTTTTTTATCATAACCCTATTGTTGAACTTTATACTTATCTCAAATTTTCTTCTACAATAAATGATGATGCATTTGCAACTCAGTGTTTTTGTAGCAGCCTCCCTTACTCTCTGTGTCGTCATTTGACTAAAGATCTGGAAAATGATACAGAATAGTCCCCACTTATCTGCCATTTTGTTTTCTGTGGTTTCAGTTTTCAGTTACCAGAGGTACAGTACCACAGCATATTTTGAGAAAAAAAAAAACAGAGCCCACATTAACATAATTTTTATTAGAATAAATTGTCGTAATTATGCTATGTTAGTATTAGTTGTTAATTTCTTACTGGGAATAATTTATAAGTTAAACTTTTTCATTGGTATGAATTATTGGAAAAAAATGTATATTTAGAGTTATTTAAAAATTTGTGATTTCAGGTATCCATAAAGGGTGTTGGAACATATCCCCATAGAAAGGAGGGGAATACTACGTAAGCAGAAGTGTTGGAGTGACATCCAGGAAGTCTCCTTAGAAGAGATTTCTAAATTCCTATATATCTACCTCTTGGACAAAGAATATATAATTTTTAATTTGTAGAAATGACATCAAATATTTTTCAAAGAATTTTTACCAATTTACATTTACCACACCATTAAGAATACATGATTGCTTACTGTAGACTTGTAGTATGGTTTGAAGTCGGGTAGTGTGATGCCTCCAGCTTTGTTCTTTTTGTCTAGGATTGTCTTGGCTATAAGGGCTCTATTTGGGTTCCATGTGAAATTTAAAGTAGTTTTTTCTAATTCTGTGAAGAAAGTCAGTGGTAGCTTGATGTGGATAGCACTGAATCTATAAATTACTTTGGGCAGTACAGCCATTTTCACCATATTGATTCTTCCTACCCATGAGAATGGAATGTTTTTCCATTTGCTTGTATTCTCTCTTACTTCCCTGAGCAGCGGTTTGTAGTTCTCCTTGAAGAGGTCATTCACATGCCTTGTAAGTTGTATTCCTAGGTATTTTATTCTATTTGTAGCAATTGCGAATGGGAGTACACTCATGATTTGGCTCCCTGTTTGTCTATTGTTGGTGTATAGGAATTCTTGTGATTTTTTCACATTGATTTTGTATCCTGAGACTTTGCTGAAGTTGCTTACCAGCTTAAGGAGATTTTGGGCTGAGACGATGGGGTTTTCTAAATATATAATCATGTCATCTGCAGACAGAAACAGTTTGACTTCCTCTTTTCCTACTTGAATACCCTTATTTCTTTCTCTTGCCTGATTGCCCTGGCCAGAACTTCCAATACTATGTTGAATAGGAGTGGTGAGAGAGGGCATCCCTGTCTTGTGCCGGTTTTCAAAGGGAATGCTTCCAGCTTTTGCCCATTCAGTATAATATTGGCTGTGGGTTTGTCATAAATAGCTCTTATTATTTTGAGATACATTCCATCAATACCTAGTTCATTGAGAGTTTTTAGCATGAAGGGGTGTTGAATTTTGTCTAAGGCCTTTTCTGCATCTATTGAGGTAATCATGTGGGTTTTGTCATTGGTTCTGTTTATGTGATTGATTACGTTTATTGGTTGGCATGTGTTGAACCAGCCTTGCATCCCAGGGATGAAGCCAACTTGATCTTGGTGGATAAGCTTGTTGATGTGCTGCTGGATTTTGTTTCCCAGTATTTTACTGAGATTTTTCGCGTCGATGTTCATCAGGGATATTGGCTGAAATTTCCCTTTTTTGTTGTGTCTCTGCCAGGTTTTGGTATCAGGATGATGCTGGCCTCATAAAATGAGTTAGGGAGGAGTCCCTCGTTTTCTATTTTTGGAATAGTTTCAGAAGGAATGGCTACGGGAGGGATAGCATTAGGAGAAATACCTAATGTAGATGATGGATTGATAGGTGCAGCAAACCATCATGGCACGTGTATACCTGTGTAACAAACCTGCACGTTCGGCACATGTATCCCAGAACTTAAAGTATAATAATAATGATGATAATAATAATAATAAAGAATGCATGGTTGCCTGTTTTTCCACACCCAAACAAAAATAGTCTCAACCATTTTTTTATCTTTGCTAACCCAAAACTAAAAATCATTTGAATTAATTTTGTATATAGAATAAAATTTGTGCTCATAAAATAATTAAAATAATGGGAGCTGATACCACACAATGTCTCATTTCTCTGCCATTAAAAAATCAAACTGAAGGGCGGGCATGGTGGCTCACGTCTGTAATCCCAGCACTTTGAGAGGCGGAAGTGGGTGGATCACTTGAGATCAGGAGTTTGCGATCAGCATGGCCAACATGGTGAAACCTGTCTCTACGAGAAATACAAAAAAATTAGTGGGGCGTGGTGGCGGGTGTCTGCAATTCCAGCTACTCAGGAGGGTGAGGTAGGAGAATCGCTTGAACCTGGGAGGCAGAGGTTGCAGTCAACTGAGATGGTGCCACTGCACTCCAGCCTGGGTGACAAAGCGAGACTCGTCTCAATGAAAAAATAAATAAATAAATAAATAAATAAATAAAACTGAATATGAAAAAGGGTAACCTAGGACTGATAATGGCAGCACCACAAATTTGCTTGTAATTCAGGATCAGGTCTCCAATTTCAGGTTAATCTTCCCAACAACTGCTGGAGACTCAACTATCACAATTATATTCAAAAAAGGGATAAAAAGATAAAAAGTGGGATGTTGAAAGAAGTGCTTTTCTCTCTTAAGGAGACTTCCTGGATGTCTACCCAACAGTTGCACTTACCTGTCATTTTGAGACCTCTAGCTACATGGTCATACGTATCTGTAAGGGAAGCAACTATGATGCAGGTTTGTTTTACAGTAATTTTTACTAAATAAAAAGAATGGCTATTAAGAGACAATTAGAAGTCTCTAAGTTTGAACACCTATTCATGGATTTAAAAACTGTTTGCATATCATTTTTATTTGTAATTCAAATTTATCTTCATGACTTTTTTATGCTTTTTATTTTTGTTTGTTTATTTATTTATTTTATTTTGAGACAGGGTCTCACTATGTCACCCTGACTGTAGTGCAGTGGCGGTATCTAGCTCACCACAACTTCTGCCTCCCAGGCTCAAGTGACTCTCCTGCCTCAGCCTCCTGAGTGGCTGGGATTACAGGGATTACAGGATTACTACCGCCTGGCTAATTTTTGTATTTTTAGTTGAGACAGGGTTTCACCATGTTGGTCAGGCTGGCCTCGAACTCCTAACCTTAGGTGACCCACCCGCCTTGGTCTCCCAAAATGCTGGGATTACAGGCACACGTCATCATGCCTGGCCCTGTTTTTATTGTTATTATTATTATATTGGGTTTTAAAAGCCCTTGCTATTTTTCAGGTATTAAGATCTTTGTCAGATGTTTGGGTGGTCATTATATTTTTTCCTAGTTTTCATTTTTATTTTAATTTAGCTTATGCCTCAATATACTTTTAGTCTCTATATTGTTGAACTTTTATTGCTCTTTAGTTGAAGGTCTCAAGGATAAGAGATTTGTTAAATGTTTTATAATTTAAAAAAATAGATGTAAATACTAACCTGTATACATTAGCCTGAACAGTATTAAAGAAAAAAAATCCTGACACTCATTAAAATGGTAAGAAAATCTTTATTCATGACTTTTGCAATAGGGGTATTGCTATAGGAGGACTGGCCTCAACTATGACTAAAATAAAGAAAAGTGGGAATTTATAGCCAAGGAACGAAGTAAGGGCTCAGTGGATGGAAAATTACTAAGAGGAGACAATAAGGGTAGGGAGCTTCTTTTGGAATGTGATCTAACGGGATTCTTACAGAAGGAAGGCCAGGGTGCTCAGCTATCAAAGGTGTGATTTCTTAGATCGGGTATTGAAGGCTATCCGCTATCAAGGTGGGAATTCTTGCTCATCTGCCTTGGCTGGATTCTTGCTATAATTGAACTAAGCAGGCCAAAGATGGCCCCAGGATGAAGCCTACTCAAAATGAGGGCTCAAAGAAGCCTAAGTAAAATTTGGTCAAGGAAAGAATCTTTCTCAATAGTTTTAAGGTAAAAAGAATCAGGCAATAAGTGTAGCTTGCTTGCAAATTACTCCCTCTGTTTTCATTTCTACAGGGAGTCAGTTTACAGCAGGCTATTGAATGCTAATAATAAAATAAATTTACATATGAGAACTGGAAAAAGCTGGAAAGAAAAAGTGGGTCCAAAAAAAAAACAAAAAACAAAAGGCAATCTATCAAGCTGTATTTGGGAATATATATCTAATGGCCATGTCTATCAGAAAACAAGTTCTTGGTCTCTTTAAAAAATAAGATCAGTGATTGTTATATATAGGATAAAATGCGTTCATGAAAAAAGATCTATAATTTTGAATGTACACATAATCTGTAAACAAAGTATTATCAAGCTGGAAAGTTATAACAAGCTGGTTTCTAGAGAAAGCTCTACAAAAGCATTGAATATTTAGTGAAACTTTTGAAATTAAAAAATGCAGGAAATTAAAACTAAAGGGATTTAATTTTGTTGTTAGTTTAAGCTAATGGTTTATGACAGTTTGGTAAAACAAAAAGAGATATTGCATTAGTGAAGAAAAATGACATAAAAATTTACCCCCCAAAATTACAAGCAAAATATGATTTTAGTGTACCAGAGAAGTACTTATTAATATCAGCCTTTCAATATTATTTTGAAGTTATAATTATATAGAGATTTACTAAGAGTAAAATATGAGTATTTTAGGGTGTTCAGGTTAATATAGTAGAGAAAATATTTTTAAAAAATGTATAAAAGTAATGATAAAATTGTTATAACATTTTATCAGAAAACAATACCAACTCACAGATATCTTGAAAAATGAATATAATAATGTAAGTTATCATATCTCACATTAGAGGAATTTTTATGCCAGTGATTTATTTCTAGTTCTGTTAATCTCAACGAAAGTGTAAAAGCATCATATCTAAAAACAAATTTCACTGTCATTATGTATAAAAGAATAAAAGATAATTAAGTCTCTTTAAAAACACGAAGCTATAATGTGGACATCTTTTTAATTCCGGTGAGTAAAATGAAGCACTCGTTACTTTGCATAAATTATTTGGTAACTATCATAATTTCAGAATTCCATTGAAATCACAAATGAACTTTGTGGAATTAACAGCTCCAGACCATCTTGTAATTACGTTAGCAGCAATGTTTCTAGCGTTAAAATGTCATAGAAAATAAATGATATTAATATTTATCTTATGAACAACAGTTTCATAGTTCGCGTGGTGAGTTAAACCACTAATGGCTAATCAAACATGATATTAACAGCAGTGCCAATGAAATGCAACTCACTATGAGAAAAATAATTGCTACAGATTTAAAAAGTGCAAGTCAACATAAAAGACAAGTAACAGGTCCCAAAGAAGTTATTTGAGAGAGGTTCTGTTGTTTTCTTAAGACAAGTATTATAATCATATTTAGAGAGCTATATAGACAATTTCATATCAATGAACAGTTTAAGTGCAAAATCCACTGTATTTATAAAAGGTTGTGTATGATTTCTACTTTTTATGCTAATTTTGGCTTTGGTATGAGTATATGTATGTTTTCTTTTCTAGTTACATAATAATACAAATTCTTTATATTTCTATAAAAGGTTAAAAAGATTAAAGATTTAAAAAATATATTGCTTGCTTTAGAAGTTGATATTAGTTTTACATGCATGTCCCATGGTCTTAGCAAATATTTATTATAATCATATTATATCAAATAATTCAAAGTAATTAGAAAATTAAAATGGATTTTCCTTTTATTAAAACATCTACCAAATATATGTTTATAATATAAAGAATTAAGAAATCCTAAAACAGCATAGGCCCCCCCCACCAACCCCACACACATGCCTTCATTGGTATCAACGGGTGATTAGTTCAAGGACACTTGACACCCAAATTTGTGGATGCTCAGGTCCCTTGTATAAAATGGCATAGTAAGTGCATATATAATCTGCATACATTCTCCTGTATTCTTTAAATCAACTCTAGATTACTCGTAATGCCTAATACCATGTAATGCTATGTAAATAGTTCTTACACCGTATAGGTTTTATTTGTATAATTTGTATTGCTGTATTTTCACTTTTGGTTCATTATTAGTTTTTGAATACTTTTTATTCATAGTGGTTCAAACTGACAGTTGCGGAACCCACAGACACAAAGAATCAACTGGGGACACACACACACACACACACACACATATAATTTATTTTCAAGGTATGTTGATATGGTTGAATGTAAGTCACATTCGCAAGTAAATGTGTCTTTCTCACTGGGTTTTCTTCTCAACATTGCTGTGCTGAATATTCTTGGTTACTCTTATAGTAAGTTCTAACAAGTTTCATCAGAATTTAATCTCTATCAACAAAAGTGACAGAAAGACTATCTTGAGGCTTAGCCAACTCTGATTAATTGGTAGAATCTGCCATGGTTGTATCTAGAGGGATGCTGATGCACATAAGTTTAGCAAGATAGACCACTGAGAGTGGGGAAAGACACCTGTCTAATACTCCTTGTGCATTAAATCTACTCACTACAACTGAAGACATGGCCGTGAAGAGTCATCTCAGTAAGCCTACTCAGTTATTCATGGCCACATGACAATTTAAAATAATTTCCTCATCTGCTGCAGACCTGTAGCATTTTACATACGTTGCAGACTTGTTATATAGAGACTATATTTTTTTTAATTCTTTCCTATAGAATATGAACTTCCTATTGGCATTATTTCCACATAGTAGATGTTCAGCAAATGTCCATCTCATGAATAAATGAACAGGTGGTGTCATTCTGAGGTTTGAAAAGACGTTAATATTTTCTTTGTGGAAGCAACCCAAAAGCAACTGTCAAAGATATAATTCAGCCAAAAGGCCAAATCCGTGATCCATGGGTTGAATAAAGTTGGCATAAGATATATTTTCTATTCTAATGGACTGTATAATTTAATTCATCAGACAAGAGCTTGGCTCTGCCAAATGAAAACTCTCCTTATCACATGGTTTGGAAGGAGTTTTCTTTGTTTACTTAGTGAGTTCAGCTTGATTTTCTCCTGAATGCAGCCAACTTTGAAAGAATGGCAGAGAGATGAATGCAACTGTAACCATATACAAAATAATTATGAATTCACCCAAGGGCTATTGAGTACTAGATACTATTGGAAAACAGCCTTGTAAAGCCATCTAAAATGAAACCTGGCACATAATTCAGAAATCAATACATTTCTCATATTTCAAAAATACCTACTTTAACATAAGATGAATGAAGGATATATTTCATTGGTGGCTTTTGACTGTAAAAATCATTTTTTATAAATCATTTTTAGGCATCCACTGACTCATTAGCTCATATGACATATTCTGAGCTCCTTTGTGTGCCATGATACTGAGGATTCAAAGAAAATTAATATAGAAAATTTTTCATTGAGGCCATCTGATATACCTTGCTAGGTTGGTTGCTATAGGGAGTATGGTAAGTATGGGTTTATATATTTTTCAAATGTAGCATTAGGTTCAAATAATGACATAATACTGGCATCACTGAACATATTCCATTTAAAACGCAGGTAGCACAATCCTTTCTCTGTATTAAAATGTTGCAAACCATTTTATTTATGTTATTTTAGAACAAAGATCTTTGAAAGGTCATGTAATTATTTTTACTAATTTTTAATTACTATTAATGTTAAAGATGACATATCAAAAATATTGTCCTCTGTTTTCTCATTAAAAAAAAAAGATTGTATTTTGTGCAAAGCCCTGGGCTATAAAATAAGAAAATATAATTTGAGTTTTGAGTAAGTTAATATTTTAATGATTTTTTTCTGATATATGCAGAAATACAAACAAATAAAGTGCATAATTCATCCTGAGGGTTTCAAAGGAGGCTTAGCTCAAGAATAGAGGAGTTGGGTCCGGGCAAGTTGGCTCACACCTATAATCCCAGCACTTTGGCGGGTGGATCATGAGGTCAGGAGATCGAGACCATCCTGGATAACACGGGGAAACCCCGTCTCTATGAACAATATAAAAAATTAGCCGGGCGTGGTGGTGGGTGCCTGTGGTCCCAGCTACTCTGGAGACTGAGGCAGGAGAATCGCTTGAACCCGGGACATGGAGGTTGCAATGAGCCAAGATTTCTAGCCTGGGCAACAGAGCTAGACTCCATCTCAAAAATAAGTAAATAAAAACACAGGAGTTGGAATAAGAATGGAAAGAAAGAATCTTAATAAAAGGGACAGGAGGGTAAAGTATTACAGGAAAATAGTTTATGACATGTTAGTAATCAATACTTTTCTATAAAAGCAGCATAGGTTATTTGTAGGGAAGGGTTTAAGATGAGAGCTTTCTGCTCTTAACGCCACCATGTACTGAACCAATATAGACTTCTTGTGCTTCAAACCAAGATATTTTTCATTGAAAATAAAAGTAGAGAGAGTTTAGTTTGAAATTGCTTCTTGCAGAAAGGTTTGGCGTTCCTTGCTTTGTTGCTGTATCACTCTAATATCTGCATCCTTCCTCACATGATTTTCTTCCTTACATATATCTGTGTGCATCCAAATCTCTCTTCTTGTAGGAAGACCAGTCTTTGAGGGCTGTTCATAATCCAGTCTGAATTCATATTAACTTTGTTACATTTCCAAACAGCTTCTAACTAGGTTCACATTCACAGGTACCAGGGTTAGATCATCAGCACATCATTTTGGGAATGAGTTGGGGGGACACAATTCAACCGAAAAGACAGATCATGGGAATTTTTATAAAATTTCATGACAAAAAATCTGTCACACATATGTGGAGAATCCAAATTTACACTACGTGTCTGGTGAAAGGATTGTCAACGTGAGTGATTAGCATAAAAAATAATTTGAAACTTGTTGAATTCTCAGAGCTTCAAAAAAGACAAATGCAAAACTCTTTTCTTGAAGCAGTCATACAACCCAATATGAAATTATTATGAAAAATAAAAGTAAAACAAAAAACACAAATCACTATTAATAATCACATCATGAGATTAACTACCATGAGGAAGAATCTATTGACATGATTAATAGAGTACAAGAGGAATATGTCTAGACGTAGTCCATACCCGTATTGATGCAGATCCCTAAGGTTAACTCGTTTCAAAAATCCAGGTGACCCCTGAAGCAAGCACATCAGGGTGTCTACTCACTGGCTTCTATCAATTTTTCATTCCGGAATAGGGTTCCTTCAGTGAAAATCAGCATATCCTACTTCAATTCACTCCTCAAATTCCAAAAGTTATTTCCATAGGACCATTCCCCATATGATCTCAACCCTTTAATAGCACACTTTTACATTGCCTTTCTGCTTGAGCATATGACCGTGCCATGGGCTGCTCATTGGCCATGAGTCAATAAAAACTCAACCATAGGGCCAAGCAGCAGGCAGTTTTTAGCCCACCAGGCTAGTCTACTTTTACTTTCTTTGATCAGAGTAGTTAGCCTTCCAAACAAGATGCTGCTCTTTCACTTGGAAGTGCCGTCCATAAACCAAGCCATCCGTTTGTGGTCATGGAGAGCTATGTAAATGGCAATCCGATCAGGCAGATCCCCAGGTGATTAGAATGCCGGTCTTACAGGAAAATAGATTACCAGCTTCTGAATACATTGAATAATTTTTTTTGACATTCCTTTGGGACTATGTTTCTATACAAACCATTTCCATCTTATCATGAAACAGTTCCAATTACTTACTATCCTGCCCATTGGACTGCTTTATTGACATCACCCCAGATAATGTTTATTTCAGGTTTCAATATTATTTTACATCATTTACATAGGGGCAGTTTCAATTAATGTCTGATAGCAAGCTAATACTTGCCACTCTAATGGAAATACTGGAATCTGAAATCCCAGCAGTTAATGCTGGGTTGTGCCCACAGGCTTTTGCCCAGAACTCTGAGACTCTTTTCAAGTGGTTTTATCTACAAGATTTAGCAACTATTCTCACCTATAAAATATGTGTCCCACCAAGTCCAAATAAAACAACAAGATGCTGACATTCTAACCTTGTCCACACAAGTTGTTAATTTGTGTGGCAATCTTATTGGTTTCCATTTAGCATATCCAATTAAGTCTGTTACACACCTTCTGTTTCATAGTACTAGGTAAAGTGTTCTCCAGTCATAATCCATTTCCATAATACATCCAGATAAAAAGACGAAAGCATTTTGCATAAAATCTGCTTAAATATATCAACTTTTCATCCAATTTTCAACTTAATCCTATCAACCCTTGCATTCTTCTTAGGTCCTCCCAACCTAACTTTAGTCCCTGGTAGGAATTTATCACGTTTGGGAACCACAGTGCATGGAGTTCCCATGAGAAGGAGTCCTAGTAACATCTCTTTTCCATGTACTGACTGACCATTGTACCCACTCAAGTGCAGATGGCCTTGAGTACCCAACTGGGCATTGAGGTGAAGGACACTGACTATTTAATCAATCTTTATAGTGACTAGATTGTGGGACCATTGTCCTAAGTTTTTGAGGACAGGTTTTTCATGTCATCTTTGCCTTCCAGTTTTTAAAAATTTCACCCATACTAGGTTGAATACAGCGTATTTGTTTTGGCTCTTTAACACTATGGACTAACAAGAGATCCTATCAGCCCACCCAACTTCCAAAAGTGTTGCATTAAGTATTTTTAACCCTTATCAATGTCTGCTTTATGCATTTTACTTCTTAATAACCATTTAATTATTTCAACTCTGCTGGGAGGAGTCTTTCCCCTTTTCCTCCCTTTTATCTTTCCTCATTGTTTATCTCATTCTCTTTTGAATTATTCTAACTATTGCAATGTGTTATTTCAGCATAACATTTCCCTTTGGAAGAGGGTCTGAGACTAGGGGCTGTAGCACAGGCTGGCTGGAATTCAGCTTGGCCCAGGCCACTATTTTCCTCATCACTCTCCCTTAATTTCATTTTAGCTACTACTACAGATAGCAATAACCAAGGGTATGAATATTTCACCCTTTCTTCCTTTCTTTCTTTCTCTCTTTTTTTTTTCTTTTTTTCTTCTTGTTTGTCATTTTCTTATGTATCCAGTAAAGCAGCTGCCTGGAGTTTGCACATACCTTTTATAAATAACAGATTATTTTTACCTTCAGTAATTGATCGCAGTTTGTTATTCCACACTATAGGTGCCCCTGTGACCTCCCAGGACTCAAAGATTCCCCATCTCCCAGCCTTTTAACCTGTCTTTTCACAATCTACATGTTTCAGGGAGTCAGGGCTGTTAGATGTTCAAATGTCTTGTGTTTTGTGGATTACTTAATGAAGTCTGGGCATTAGGCATGACAGTGGGTTCGGAATATGGAGAAAATGGTAAATTTTTGGAAGCAAGATAGTGACTTTATCATATTTGCATTTCTAAATGACTCTCCAGAGACTCTAAATTTGGAGTTTGGGGATCCAGGAGGTAGGTGCTTTCAATAACCCAAGTATGAAACAAACAACAAAAAAATGTTTATGCTAAAGTGATGCCAGGAGAAAAGAATATTTATTAAAACTTTAAAAGTTATGATATAAAACTGATAGCACCAATTGAATGTGGCAAGTGAAATAAAGAGAGCAGTATACTTAAATGGATTCTGCTCCTAACAACTATAAATCTTTGCCTAATTGACACTTTAAAATAGAAGCAAAGTTGAACATGAGATCCCTGTTAGAAATACAAGTGGAAATGTCCAATTAAGAATATTTTCTGGATTTCAGAAGATAAGTCAGGATGGAAGAGTCATCAGAAAGTAGTTCATGAAATAGGGTCTAACAGGGAGAAAAGAAAAGGTGTGAAGATAGAACCCTTAAAATTTCCCGTATTTGAAGGCCAAGTGAGAGATGAGGAAACAGAGAACCAGAATAGACTACAATCGGCAAAGCTAAAGAAAAAAATACTTCTAGGAATGAATGAGTCATATGTAGAATCCAATGTTACGGAAAAGGTAATGACAGAGGAAGACAATAGAAGTCACAGAAGGTCTTTTTATAAAATGTGTTAATAAAGAAGCATACATATTATGATATGGTTTGGCTCTGAGTTCCCACACAAATCTCATTTTGAATTGTAGCCCCCGCGTGTTGAGGCAGGGACCTGTAATCCTCACGTGTCAAGGGAGGAAGGTGATTGGACCATGGGAGCCGTTTCCCTTATGCTGTTCTCATGATAATGAGTGAGTTCTCAGGAGATATAATGGTTTTATGAGGGAACCTTCTCCCTTCACTCTGCACTTCTCCTTCCTGCTGAAGGAGGAAGGTGAAGGAAGCTGAAAAAGGAAGCCTTGTGAAGAAGGTGCTTTGCTTCTTTTTCACCTTCTGCCATGATTCTAAGTTTCCTGCGGCTTCCCCAGCAATGTGGAACTGTGAGTCAGTTAAACCTCCTTCCTTTATAAATTACCCAGTCTCAGGGAAGTTCTTTATAGCAGTGTGAAAAAGAACTAATACATGTTACTCATAATATCTTTTTAGTTCAAATATTTCTTTATTGTTTTCTTTATAGCAATATACATTTTATTTGCATAACTAAATACATTATTCTGAAAAAGATCCCTGTATTACTCTGCTAGAAATGACATCGCTAGGTACCATATAATCAACAGCATTATAATCAGCAGCATCGACAGAAATTTATTGTCTCAGATCTGGAGGTAAATGTCTGAAATCAAAGTATTAGCATGATGGGTTAATTTGAAGTATTGTGAAGAAGAATCAGTTTCATGCCTCTCCTTCAGCTCCTTATGGTTTTCTGGCAATCTTTGCTTGACTTGTACATGCATTGAGCCTATTTCTGCCTTCATCTTTACATTGTATTGCATGGTATATCCCACTTTGACTATCTCTGGGTCCAAATTTCCCTTTTGATTTTTAATTAACTTATTATTATTATTTTGAGACAAAAAATGCAGTGGCATGATCATGGCTTACTGCAGCATTGACTTCTCAGGTTCAAGAGATCTTCTCACCTCAGCCTCCTGAGAAGTTGGAACTAAGGGTACCCACCACCACACCAGGCTTTAAAAAAATTTTTAGTAGAGGTAAGGTCTCCATATATTGGCTAGGCTGTTCTTAAATTGCTGGGCTCAAGCAATCCTCCCACCTTGGCTTCCTAAAGTGCTGGGATTATAGATGGAAGCCATCACACTCAGCTAAATTTCCATTTTATTAAGGGCAACAGTCACAGTAGTATAGTGCACACCCAGGTGACCTCATCTTAATTAACTACATCTGCAAAACCCAACTTCCAAATAACGGTCACATTCTGTTGTACTGGAGATTAGTACTTCAACATATAAGTTTTGAGGGGACACAGTTCAACCCATAACAGACCCCTGCACTCTCAAAGAATGTAATCTAGATCAGCACTCTTCAGTAGAAATAAGCCACATACATAATTTTAAGTATCCCTAGCCCCATTAAAAAATTAAAAGAAACAAGAAAAGATAATTTAATAATATATTTTATTTAGCCAATTATCTCCAAAATATTATTGTAATGTGTAATCAATATAAAAGTTACTGAAATGTATTACTTTTTTTGGTACTTAAGTCTTTGAAATCATGTATGTACTTATTTTATGCTTACAGCACATCTTGATCCAAACTAGCCACATTTCAAATGTTCAGTAGCCACATCTGGCTAGTGACTACTGCATTGGACCAGGCAACTCTAGCAAGTAGTTCTTAACTTTGTGGTTTTGTTTCATTTTTCCTGTAATTCTTTGTTAGTCTTGTGAAACAGAGATCATAGCTTAGTAAATTTATTATATCTTAAACCTTGTCACAGAACCTGGCAAACCATTTGAAATAACTAAAAATTAAAACAGGACTGAGGAGAAGGAACAAATATATTATTAAGAACTGAGAAGTGAATGGAAGCTGAGAAAGTAGAAAAAGTGTTTGCAAACTAATCTAGACTTGCTATGATAAAATTGCAATTGTGGATATATCTTCCATTATTTATAAGGTGATATATTAGCTTTCTAGTTGCCACTGTTACCTATTACCACAAATTTCATGGCTTAGAACAACAACAACAAAATTATGTTATAGTCCTGGTGGTCTGAAATCTGAAATGGGTTTTAATGGACCAAAACTAATTGTTGGAAGGACTGTGCTAGCTCAGGAGGCTCTTGGAGAGAATCCGTTTCTTTGCCTTTTTCAGCTTCTAGAATTGCATTTGCTGCATTCCTTAGTCCACAAGAGTGGGGTTGGGATGTTTTCTTCATCTTCAAAGTTAGCAGCTTAGCATCTTCAAACCTCTCTCTGCTTCCTTATAACATAAACTTCTATCCCTCTGATCACTGCTTCCTTCTATTTTTTTGCAGCAATAAATTGTTTTATTATACCTTTAGCCAGCAAATGAATAATTCATGGAATGGCTATTCTTTGTTCCTTAGACATCCTCATGGAATAATCATACAACTATATGCATTATTATTGAAATGGCAAAAAACAATGGTTTAGGTATTCACAAATCCATTTCATAAACACATGGCATGGCTATAGCAGAGGAGAAAAATATTTTTAATAGAGAAGGTCCCAGTTACCCTGATTTGATCTTTACAAATTATGTGAATGTAACAAATTATCACATGTATTACCCCAAAAAAGTACATCTATTATGTATAATTCAAAATAAATAAATAATTAAAAAATAACATTTACCTATGACTGTGTTTGCTAAATAAATAAAACACTGCTTAACGTATTTTCATAATTATAAAATCAGTAGCAGTTACCACAAAATTAAGTTTTTCCTGGGAATTAATTACTGGGCATGGACGCAACCAAATCCTGTAATTATGTGTAGTCAACATAGACTTTATTTTCTTAATAACTTACTTATTCATCCATTCAAAAATGTTAAGATATCATTATGAGTGAGCCAAAATATCAATTACATTAGTATTTTTTAAACAAAATAACTACATTAAAGTGAAAACTTTTCACTTGCCATTCACAAAATAAGGTTATGTAATATTTTACTTTAAAACAAGTAACAATTTTATTATGGCAAAACAGTAAACATTAGGTTTTACTAGCTTTTCTGAAATTCTTCTTTGCTTTTATAAAAATATTTTATTTCATTTTGCTCAAGATCTTTTTTTGTATCTTAAGGCTGCAATACAATTTATGAGTTTATCGCCACTTCCACTGTTACATGGATTATACCACTGAAGTTTTTGCTTTAAATCACACAATGTGCAAAGTGTAAAAATGCTACTGATCTTTACCATTTAAAATACCTCCTTCTTATAAGGACCCTGTGACAGCATGGGGACTCCTCTGGAAAATTCAGGATTATCTCCATTTCAAGATCCTTAAATAACCACATCCACAAAGTCCCTTTTGCCATATGAGGTAATAGTTACAGGTTCCAGCGATTAGGATGTGTGTATCTTTGACAGCCATTATTCAGCCTACTTCATATGTTATTGATTTGTACACTTGTTTGCTGAAAAGATAAATATAAATAAATTTTTAAATATTTGTAGAACATAAATATTGATAAATCATTTATTCATTAAACATTTATTAAATTTCCATAATATGGGGATTATACATAGTTTCTTTCAGTTAACACAGTTGTATTTTTTCTAAATATCTTTCAAACATACACATAAAATATAAAAATATGTATTAGATAATTTGATACTGATCTGATAGGAAAAAAAATTGCACACTCCTGGGATTTCACATGTGAGATGTAATGTATTTCTTTACATTAGCATTTGGAGTTAATTTGTGTTTCTGATATTAGAAGGCTTAATACCATTTTAATTAAAACTATACAGATCATAAATTTTAATCACTAATTACTACTAAAAGGTATGTGAGTAGCATAGAAATCACCCTCCTGTTCATTTGCTTTGGTCCTACAGCCGCCTCAAGTTAAGGAAACACTTGTCACTTTACATTTCTTACAAAGCTGTGCTTAATTCTTGCCACCTTCTTCTCATCTCTCTAGTCAGTGTAGATGTTTCAGTTACAGTAGAAAAACGCACAATGCCAAAGTGTTGTCAATAAACATACCGCCTGACACCAAGTGTCCTACAGTTCAGCAGGAGATAATGGTTAATGAAATTGATAAGATAGATGGAACACTTCAAATAATTTTTCACTGTCATAACCCCCCTATGCACTACTCTGGCGTTGTTTAATAAATCAACATGATCAAACTTGCAGAGAAACAGTCTTCGAAAGAAAGAGACTAGCCCTTATTTAGGTAAACACTGAACCTGGGATCTAAATACTACCTTTTAGTTGAAAATTATACATTTTCAGTTTCTATTTATATAAATTATAAGATTGAATTATAAATAAAACAAGTTTGGCTGTCAGAGGGGAAAAAGTCTTTTATAATAAGACAATAAAAATAATCACCTAAATTACTTTAGAAACTCAATAATACTACTACTGAAGGACAGACAGCATAATTTTAAGTGATTTTTCTTCAGTCTATAAACAAATATTAAACATCTTAAAAGAACATTAGATGTAAATAATGGTATATAGGCTATATTATTTCTTATAGCTTTGATTTACAATTATGTTTTATTTTGCTACAATTTATCTAAAACATACTGTCTAAAAACTTCTCTTTGGATAGCTTCTGTTATTAATCAGCTTAGCTATTTTGATAAAAGCCTGTGCTTTAACCTGCTGGGCAATATTGTAGCAATATTTGATGAGACAAGTTACCATTAAAGAAATTAAACTGCTGGTAATTTTACTTTCTTAAAAAATGCAAACCATTATTATCACAATGAGGTTTTTATCAAACTCGCTCAGAGCAGAAATTTTCTCTTATTTATAAGTTGTTAGAAATAATTATTATTTGATGCACAGTGTATCATAATAATTAGGGGCTGGCTAGGTTCAAATCCTGGTGCCATTTATTATAAGCTATGCGACTTCAACAGATCCACTGTGTTCCTTATGTAAATTTAGACTAATAATAGTGTCTACCTATCATTGCTGTTGTATTCTCAGGAGAATATATAAATTAATAAATGTGTGAGACTTTGAAGATTTCAAGTATGTAGTTAATGTTAGTTGATATTATAAGTCATCTGTATTAAATGATGATAGTAATTGTGATAAAGTACTAGATAATAGGTTAAAAATTTTCAAAGTAAGTCTATGATCTCACTTTAAGATGTATTGGGTTATGCCATAATTTCACAGTTTGTACAGAGGAAGTGCCTAGAAGATTCCTAACATGATAAGCACCCAAAGTATATAATAATTATTTCTATAAGTTGTAGTAGTCATTGATTTTTTGAGACTAGTATAATCTGGATCCAAAACTGATAAAGACAGTGCCAGATTAAAAATGCAGGTCAATCATGAAGTCTTTGCCCATGCCTATGTCCTCAATGGTATTGCTTAGGTTTTCTTCTAGGGATTTTATGGTTTTAGATTTTATGTTTACATCTTTAATCCACTTTGAGTTAATTTTTGAATAAGGTGTAAGGAAGGGGTCCAGTTTCAGTTTTCTGCATATGGCCAGCCAGTTTTCCTAACACTATTTATTAAATAGGGAATCTTTTCCCCATTGCTTCTTTTTGTCAGGTTTGTCAAAGATCAGATGGTTATAGATGTGTGGCGTTATTTCTGAGGCCTCTGTTCTGTTCCATTGGTCTATATATCTGTTTTGGAACCAGTACAATGCTGTTTTGGTTAGTGTAGCCTTGAATAAAACACCAAAATCAATGGCAACAAAAGCCAAAATTGACAAATGGGATCTAATTAAACTAAAGAGCTTCTGCACAGCAAAAGAAACTATCTTCAGAGTGCACAGGCAACCTACAGGATGAGAGAAAATTTTTGCAATGTATCCATCTGACAAAGGGCTAATATCCAGAATCTACAAGGAACTTAAACAATTTGAAAGAAAAAACAAGCAAACCCATAAATAAGTGGGCAAAAGATATAAACAGACACTTCTCAAAAGAAGACATTTATGCAGCCAACAAACATATGAAGAAAAAGCTCATCATCACTGGTCATTAGAGAAATGCAAATCAAAACCACAATGAGATACCATCTCATGTCAGTTAGAATGGTGATCATTAAAATGGCAGGAAACAACAGATGCTGAAGAGGATGTGGAGACATAGGACAGTTTTACACTCCTGGTGGGAGTGTAAATTAGTTCAACCATTGTGGAAGACAGTGTGGCAATTCCTCAAGGATCTAGAAACAGAACTATCATTTGACCCAACAATCCCATTACTGGGTATATAGTCAAAGGGTTATAAATCACTCTACTATAAAGACACATGCACATGTATGTTTATTGCAGCACTATTCACAATAGAAAAGACTTGGAACCAACCCAAATGCCCATCAATGATAGACTGGATAAAGAAAATGTGGCACATATACACCATGGAATGCTATGCAGCCATAAAAAAGGATGAGTTTGTGTCCTTTGCAAGGACATGGGTGAAGCTTCAAACCATCATTCTCAGCAAACTAACATAGAAACAGAAAACCAAACACCGCATGTTCCCACTCATAAGTGGGAGTTAAACAATGAGAACACATGGACACAGTGAGGGGAACATCACACACCAGGACCTGTTGGGGGTTGGGGGACTAGGGGAGGGATAGCATTATGAGAAATACCTAATGTAGATGATAGGTTGATGGGTGCAGCAAACTACCATGGCACGTGTATACCTATGTAACAAACCTGCAGGTTCTGCACATGTATTCCAGAACTTAAAGTATAATAATAATAATAATAATACAGGTCAATTTACCTGTGAAGATGAGCCAAGTTTCTAATTAAATTATTAGCTAAATGATTCCAATATTGTACTAAAATAATAAATCACAACTAAGAACCGTTTGTCCCAGCAACAAACGCGTAGTTTGTCAACAGAAAATATATCCCTATAAGGTGCCACAAAAAAAAAGAAAGAAAGAAAAGCACATTAGTACAAAGCATTGGATTGTGTTCAACAACTATTTATTTCGAAAATCTTAGGGCAAGAAGAATAAGCCATACTTTCTCAATCTGATAAAGGTTATCTCCATAACTTATAAATTGTATAATTCTATATAAGGGAAAAAGCTTAGAAGAATTCTACTTAGAGTTGAAAACAAAATAAAGATTAATCTCTTCAGGGGTAACATTCAAAATATTTAAAAACGTGTCCAGAATAAATGCCAACCAATCAGAATGCAAAGCAGTTTCGTGGAGTGTACCAGCTGATTACTAATTTGCTACAAGATGTTGAAGATCTAGCCAAGGCAATGATATAAAATAATGAGGGCTATGATAATTTTATGTAGAAAACATAACACAAGCCATAACTTATTAGATATACTGAGTTCAACAAGGTAGTCAGGGATATAATGAAGGGGAAAATTAGTGCAAATATTTTCTATTTGTGTTTACAAGAAAATAAGATAGTATTTTCCACAGCTACAAAAAGTAGCTCTCAGAGTTTGTTTTAGAATAACAATTACTGTTGACAAAAATTGAACAGTAACCTAAAACTGAATAAAATCTTTATGAAAATATGTAAGGATATAAAATACAAATATAGGAAGACTTAACATTGTAAAGATATCAATTACCATTAATCCGGAGAATAACTTTAAGACAAACTCGAGGAATACATATAGTAATGAGATCTGATTTTATATCCACCAGAAAGTCAATAATCTACATTTAATGACATAAATTTTTGTTGAGATTGTGGAAAAAATAGCCCTCATGCATTGCTTGTAGAAATGTAAATTTTTATGGCCGTTCTAGACTACATTTAGGAAATGTTTTAAATTATCAAACAATTCCACTTCTGGTAATGCCTAGAAGAATCATTTGCAAATCTACAAAAAGACATATACGAAGATATTCATTTTAGCATTGATTGAAATAGCAAGAATTTGAGACAGCTTAAATGCCTTTCAATTGAAAAATAGATAAGTAAAATGTGGTATAAGCAAATGTTAGAATCAAGTAAAGCAGTCAGAGATAATGAATTGAATTTACATTTATTATCATGGGCAGAACTCAGAAATAGACAATTCAGTGAAGAACAATAAGGAAGAAGCACATGAAGCTACATAACACATTATGTATGTAAATTTTAAAAAATGTGTACCTTTGAGGTTGAGATTGGGGAAGGCTTTAGCCTATTAATAAGTAAATAGGAAGATAAAATATTATTAATTAAGGAAAATGAAAGAAGAAAATGTTTGCGTGTTATGGACTGCAGATTTAGACTAATACAACTGTGTGTTACTGACTTAAAAACAAACTTGAGCTGGGCGCGGTGACTCACACCTGTAATTCCAGCACTTTGAGAGGCCGACGCAGGTGGATCACGAGGTCAGAAGTTCGAGACCAGCCTGGCCAACATGGTGAAACCTCGTCTCTACTAAAAATACAAAAATTAGCCGGGGGTGGTGACACACATCTGTAATCCCAGCTACTCAGGAAGCTGAGGCAGGAGAATTGCTTGAAGTCGAGAGGCGGACATTGCAGTGAGCCAATATCATGTGCCACTGCACTCCAGCCTGGGTGACAGAGTGAGACTCCATCTCAAAAGAAATACACAAACAAACAAACAAACAAAAAAAGACAAAAAACTTTCATAACTTTTACTCAACTCCTGTCAATAGCCCTAGCTGAACTTTCAACTAGAGATTCTTATGGAGAGTATTAATCTAATACAACAAATTAAGGCATGGTTTAATTCTAAGGACCAGCAATTATATCTAAATATTATTACCTAAATCTTTCAAATATTTTACAGGTCTATAAGGAGAAATAAATTATCTAACATGTTAATAGTGGCTTAACTTTCCATTTAACTTTCTGTGTATAAAATATACAAGAATAGTGTGTCTCTATTTGAGATGTTCAGCTATCAGCCTATCTATACTACAAGCATTTATTCTTGTAATTTTTAGCTTTTATTAAAACAAAGAATAATTAGAAAAGATAAGACTAAAGGGAAACTTAGTTATCTAGAAAATTTGCCATATAGTACACTATCTCATATTTGGTAAATCATATCAGATAGGCATATGGAGACTTAATTGTTTTATATGTGCTATATGATTTGCATAAATTTAATATCTTCAAAATAAGCTTACCATAAATGTGTCTTGAGTCTTTTCTTACTATTATCTCACAAATTTTTTAACACCCTGCATTTGACACACAGACCAAAATCTTTTCTATTAAAATTGGTTAAAATCTCATATGTGGGTGTTTTTGCATGTGTAAATGTGTGTGTAAGGTGCGGTTCTATCGACTGATATATAAATAGATAGGTAGATAGATAATAGAGAGATGATGTAAGCTAAAGTTCTGAAAACATTCTTATACATTTTCACAGAACTTTAGATTTTTCCTAAAACTGATAATGCACCTAATCTAAAATTAAAGAATAAAATATTGCAAATTCAAGAACATGAAAGAGGCATTACCCCACACACAATGGAAAACTTCAGTGGCAGGTTTAGATGGCTGATGATTTTAAAGGAAACAAAAAGACTGTGCGAATCCAGAATCCTGATCCTGGGTCATGGTGTTCTGTGTTTAGAAATCAATTCTTCCTGTTTTAAAAAGTCAAAGTTTTATCCAAAATTAGAGCTGCATAAAAAGTATCTGTGAGCTAATTAACCCTTCTCACTGACTCTTCTTCTTAGTAGCCAAATGGAACCTGCTGAGAACAACTGAAATGGTGAATACTTGATGGTGGCATTCGGGACTAAATGAACACATGGGAGAGTCAATCATGAGAGTTTCACGTGATATCTGTCTGAAACACAACTGCTATTTAAACTTGCTCACCTATATTTTAATATTTCTAGGCCAGGTGTGGTGGCTCATGCTTGTAATCCCGGCACTTTGGGAGGCTGGGGGGGGGGGGGTTGCGGATCATGAGGTCAGGTGTTCGAGACCAGCCAGGCCAACATGGCAAAATCCCGTCTCTACTAAAAATACAAAAATTAGCCAGGAGTGGTGGTGGGTGCCTGTAGTCTTAGCTACTTGGGAGGCTGAGGCAGGAGAATCACTTCTTCTGGGAGAATCGGGGAGATGGAGGTTGCAGTGAGCCAAGATCACGCCACTGCACTCCAGCCTGGGTGACAGAGCAAGACTCTGTCTCAAAAAAAAAAAAAAAAAAAATTAAAGCCCTAAATTAGATGCTGTGCTTCTGCTGCATTTTAACTTTCCTTAGAAACTTTTATTAATCTGCGTTACTAAAACCTAGTAACTAAACATTAAAAACTTAAAATAGGGACATACTTGAATGGCTATAGTATATGAACATTGAGTTTGATGCATATAAACAACCAAAAAGGTAGAAAGTAAATCACTGTTAAAAACTGTTTCCTGAGCATTTGAAAACTCCAAAATATTATATCATTACTTATAATGTGAAAACATGTTAAAAATAAAATTACTCCTTATTTAGGAGAGTGTGTTTCACAGCATAGACTAAAACGAAATTTCTCTTGTGTGCCCACCCATTGATGGCACTCTATGGATCACTTGCCTGGATCTGTGTGAAGTCAACAATAATTGTTATTCTAAAACAAACTCTGAGAGCAGCAAACTTGGCTCAGGCAGATGGTGCTATAGCCAAAACCTGTGGCATCACTGCCATCAATGTCATTTTTCCTGGCTTTTAGAAATATGAGGAAAAGCATTGAAAGAACTGTTAAAAATGCTTGAATATTCCCCTGTAGATGACAACTCAGATCATCTAGCCAACACAGAGATGCCAAAATTGAGCACAGATGTGCAATAAGTTTCCCCAACTTTGGTGTTTTAAAACAACAAAAACTTATTTTGTCACATTCTGAAGCCCAAAAGTCTGAAATCAAGGTGTCAGTAGGGACACGCTCACTCCAAAGGCTCTAGGGGATAATCCATCTCCATCTCTTTCAGATTTTGGTTGATACTGATATTCCTTGGTTTGTGGCAATATAACCTCAGTTTCTCTCATTGACAGGTCTTTCCTCCTTGTGTCTCTGGTCACGCTTTCCTGTCTCTTGTAAGAACACTCTCATTAGATTTAGGGTCCATCCTAAATGAGTTTGATCTCATCACAAAGTATCTAATTACTTTTGGTTTGGTTGGTTTTTTTTTCTTTTCTTATTGATTTACTACATTTTTACTTTCTTCTCCACACGGATGGTTCTATATTTATCTAATTACATCTACGAAACTATTTACAAATAAGATCACATTCTGAGTTTTTTGATGGCTATGAATTTTGGTGGAACACTATTAAATCCACCACAGAAGGGTAGCCAATTAAGTGTGAGCTATTATGCAAGCTACCCTTATACTCAGTGCCAATGGCACATTCTGGAAACCTGTGGAAAACTGGAAACTCTGAGTTCCATTCCATATCCCAAAAGGCAGGAAATTGGCAATAACTTCTGCCAGTATTCGGTTTAGCCTTCTGAAAGTGGGGGAAAGGCGATTACTGGGGATGAAGAAGAGGAGGCATGTTGGATATGGCTGCTGTCCATGTTCAAAGCTGAGTGGGTTCCAGCTACCAAAGAAAGCTTCATGGCAATGAGATGCAAATGTTGGTAGCTGAAAGTCCCGTGAACACTACAATGGTAAGACAATTACAGTTACAATGAGGTAATATAGACCTAGCACCAACAGCTTCTGCTGCAGACAGCTAATCACACAAGTATGATTTCCACCCATCACAATGTTTACTTATTTTAGAGAAAAGCCTTCCAAAAAATTTCAGTAAATAAATTGGCTTGTCAATGCACAAAAATCTATATGGAAATAATATATGACAGAAAAAGTCAATCTTATTTTTAAAATTGACTTTACAAACATCCCTATGTAAGAATGGGCGATAAAAAATGGTAAAAGCTGTAGTTGCCAACATCCTTGGTTTTAGACTAAGAACACTTGAGGCATGTTTGAATTAGAGTAGTGACTTAGAGTGGGAGGAAACGCTTTTCCTGTGTTCCTTCATACACATACAAGAAGTACAGCACTAAGCCACTTTTAGTAAGGAGAGTAGGCCATATCTAACAAGAGTATTAAGTCAGACAAATTAAGTCAGACAGAGTGCTATATATAGCACTCCTGACCCACAGAGAGACTTTTTTATATATGAATCCAAAGATTGAAGTAGTTACTTGTGTTGTTCCTTTTTAAATGACAGGACAAGTTCTCATGTCCCAGAATAGCAATTATAATAGGGAGCAAAACATATTCATGGAGCCCTAAGTTACTGTAACTCAAAAGGCCCTTTGCTCATAGATGACTTGTGATAAATGTTAATTAATGCCAATTGAAATTCATTCAGAATATATAGTATAGCGTGACATTCAGGCATCTTGTGAATTCATATACCAGTTAAAATACAAATTTTAAATAATCAGCTTTCAATTCAGAGAAATAATTTGCATTCTCTGCCTGCCATTCTTCCTTCTTTTGGAAAAAGCACCCTGAATTCTGAATATCCATTGGAAAAATAATATCATCAATTTTGGGATGGTTTCACCAACATCTGCTCAAAAGTTGGAAATGAATAAGCAAAACACCTTGCCAGGAAGTAAAATGAGTCACCTAAGCAAATGTGATCGATTTGAGGGTTTAAACATAACCCAGATTTGTCTATCAGTGTGTGTAAACCCATCTTCCCATATGTAATGATTGGTTTAGGGATGGTAACATAAGGCAAGTCAGCCCAAACAAAATGAATCACAGTGTATGTTTTAATGATTAGGAAAATACCTTATTGGTAGCTGTGATGATTAATTTTATGTGTCAACTTGACTGGCCCACAAAGCGTCCAGACATTTGACCAGGCATTATTCTCTATGTGTCTATGAGGGTGTTCCTGGAAGAGATTAACACCTGATTCAGTAGACTTGAGTGAAGCAGATTACCCTCCCTAAAGTGCGTGAGCCTCACCTGGTCAGTTGAGGGCTTGAATAGATCCAAAAAGCTGACTTTCCCCAGAGATTAAGAGGGAACTCTTCCTGCCTAACTGCCTTGAGCCAGTACATCAGTCTTTCCTTGCCTTTGGACTTAAACTGAAACATTGGCAGTGTCTGAATCTTGAGCCTACCAAAATTTGGACTGGAAAAATCCCATCAGTTCTTCTGGTTCTCAGGTGTTTGGATTTAGACTAAAACTTCATGATTGGCTCTCTTATGTGCCCAGCTTGCTGACTGCAGATATTGGGGCATGCTACCTTCATTTATCAGGTAACCTATTTTCTTTTAATAAACTACTTTTTTTCTTGCCTAAGAGAACCCTAAGATAGATTTTGGTACTAAGAAGTGAGGTGCTGCTGTAAAAACTACCTAAAAGTGTGGAAATGGCTTTGGAACTGGGTGATGGATGGCTGGAGGCTGATAGAGCTTCAAGATGCATGCTAGAAAAATAGAAAATGATGTCAAGAGATTTTTTGTCAAAAATTCACACATTCATGGCCTTTGTGGTGAGGTATTAATTGAAAATGCAGAATAGATTATTGGAAACTGGAAGAAAGGCAATCCTTATAATAAAGTGGAAAGTAACTAAGCTGAATTTTGTACCAGCGTTTTGTGCAAGATAGAAGTTGTGAGTCATGGAATTCAATATTAACTAAGGAGATTTCTAAGCAAAATGTTGGAAGTGTAGCCTGGTTGCCTATAGTAACATTTTTCTAAAAGATGAATTGAAGAAGAAATTATTAAGCAAAATGAAACCATGACTTGAAGTTTGGAAAATTCTTTACCTGTGTTGCAAAAAACTAGAAAATGTGTTCTGAGGAGAACATTCAAAGTTTGATAAGGAGATCAGTATGAGTGTGAACTAGGAATTTAATCAGCCCCTATGTAGAAGCCAGGAATACGGATGGGATTATACCAGTAGAACACTGTTAGCTGGGAGTGAAGGAAACAGATAAAGTAGAACTTTATGAAAAAAAGGCTGCTAGCATGTGTTACCCTTTAAGAAAAGGTAAGAAGAATCACGACATAATTCAGAGATCATCAGAGCTGCACCCCCAGGACAGGACAAGGGATAAGGCTGCTTCCCGTTTGATTTCAAAGGGCCGGGCCCTCACAGGAAGCTGGGGAAGATGGGCCACCACTAAGTAGCAGGTGGGAGTGCTGCTACCCCATTGCCCTGGAGGGCAGAACATTGAGCCAAAGAGGATTCTTCCTGAGCCATAAGAACTGACGAAATATGGTTTGCTAAGTTTTGGACTTGCTTGTGACTCATCACCCCATCCTTTATTCCTATTTATCAATTTTGGAATGGGAATATCTATTCAAACCTATCCACCATTGTAGTTTGGAAGCACAAAAGTTGTCCAGTTTCATAAGTTTATAGCTGGGGAGGAGTTTTGCCTCGGGATGAATTGTCCTCCTGTCTCACCTACTCATATCTGATTTAAGTGATATTTAGATGAGACTTTGCACTTTACATTTTAGAGTTGATACTGGAAAGAGTTAAGTGTTTTGAGGATATAAGGATGGAAGAAATATATTTGTATATAAGAAGGATATGAGCTTGAGGGGGCAGGGACAGAATGGTATGGACTGAATGCTTGTATTCCTCCAAAAATCCGTATGTTTAAGCCTTAAGCCCCAATAGGAGATAGGACCTAAAAGGATGTGGTAAAAGTTAAATGAGGTCTTAAGGGTGGCATATAAGGGTGGCACCCTAACATGATAGGGAAGATATGCTTTTAAGAAAATGAAGAGGCAGGGAACGGTAGCTCATGCCTGTAATCTCAGCACTTTGAGAGGCTGAGGCGGGCAGATCACGAGGTCAGGAGATCAAGACCATCCTATCTAATACGGTGAAACCTCATCTCTACTAAAAATACAAAAAATTAGCCAGGCGTGGTGGTGCGAGCCTGTAGTGCCAGCTATTCAGGAGGCTGAGGCAGGAGAATCGATTGAACTCGGGAGGCGGAGGTTGCAGTGAGCCGTGATCTCACCATTGCATTCCAGCCTTGCAACTAAGTAAGATTCCATCTCAAAACAAACAAACAAATAGATAAATAAGAGGAAGAGACACCAGAGCTCTCTCCCTCTCTCCACCATGTGAGGGCATAGAGAGGAGGTGGCAATCTGCAAGCAGGAAAGAGAGCCCTCACCAGAAACCAACAATACTGACACCTTCCATCATATTCTCTCTGCTCTCAGGACCTCTCTAGCCTGGTCTATGAACACAAATCTCCACCAGTCGTAATAAATCCATACTATCCATATTATGGATAGTATAGTGTCCATAGTATTATCCATAATAGTATGGATACTATAAATCCATACTATTATATACATGTAAATTATACAACTTGTATTTATTTAAAAAATAATTTGAAACAGCATAAAACAGCAATTAATAGAATATACTAGTTGGAAAATGCAAATAGTATTATAAATCAATATTTAGTTTTATAGTTTAATATGTTTTAAAAGTCATAAATATTATAGTGACAGTTTCAAAAGTTTTAAAATTAGCTTACGGATTAGTATTATCCATACTTCAAAATCCTAGCAGGTTTTGAAATTTTATTTTCCCTCACATACTATTTCATGCATACCAGAAAGTGGAGCAGTACAATTTGTGATAACTTTGCCTAAGAAGCTTTGTAAGAAGCATTCTTCAAATTGGGAAAAATGAAGATAAAATACAATAATTTTAGTTTCTAACCAGAGGTGTATATGCTCAAGGATGGTGCCATTCTACATCAACTGTAATAGTTAATCCATATGACCAACAGCCCATTATTAGATATAGTGTTAATTTTCCTACAAACTTCTCGGTTTTCAACAGAACCTAATCTTGCCAATTTAAGAAAAAATTTATTGAAGAATATTTAGGAACTTGCTGAATTTCTGGGAAATACACAGTCAAGCTTGGCTCTTACACAGCCAGGATCAAAGTTCATACCATACCTACAATGGCTGTAGCTAAGTCACTACTACTCCTAGTCCTTAGCACAGACATCATATGTCTCCCTGGACACATGGATGCCTGCCACTGTTTCTGAAAATTGGTGTTTCCCCCAACATTGCCAAGAGAGTAATTCCACACAACGTCTGCTTCTTGCTTTGTTCTGAAAAAGTCTAACGTGGACTTATTACAGCCTATGTCACCTGCCTATGCCAGTACAAGGCAGATTGAGACAGAGCAGAAATGCATACATAAAAGTGAATGTACCTCAAAATGGAGAGTAGATCTAGGTTTGCCATCTCCAAATATAGGCAAGTATTTTGCTTAATGAGCTTAAAGAGGGCCTGAATTATGGAAAAATAAACACATTTATTCTCTTATCATGAATACAACTGTCTAGGAAGTGAAAAATATTTCATATTATAATTAAAGGTGCTAAATAAATGACCTGAAAATATTAGGGTAGTGTTATTCTTAATAATACTACCTATTTTTAAGACTTGCTTTATATCAAATTAGAATTTTTCTAGACTTTGTATTTTGACCCCAGAAAAAAACTTGAGAAATAGAATTAAAATAAATGTAGAAATATAATTTCCTCTTCACTACAGAGTAAATTACAATCTTTCAATAGAGACCTGCTTGAATAAACATATACATACATCTGAATAATGAATGGTAAGTTGCTGGAAAAAAATTCCTTTGAATCATGAAATGACTTCCTCATGAATCATAGTTACTTATTATAATTTTGATTATTTACTTTACAGTGGAAGGGCTGTAATCTATTAAGATCACTACAAACAGTTTCAGGGCTTCTGATAAGACCACCTAAATAGATTATCCATTATACATTAGGTGAAATAAATTATCTAAGGGGAATAATTGAGAGTCCCTCAAGGTAAATTTCTTCCATATTAATCCAAACAGGTTTTAAAAATTTATTTTTTCTCACAACGTTAGAATCTGACTTTTATCATGTTCTGTTCTCCCCAAAATATATAAAAATTGACAATGTCTCATATCAGAATTGAAACATATTCCCATACAACATTTCTTGAAGTCTCTAAAATTGATCAATAATTTTCTGGCAATGTAATTATACAATATGTATTTATTTTTTAAAATAATTTGAAACAGCAATTAATACAGTGTACTGACTAGAAAATGCAAATAGTATTATAAATCAATATTTAGTTTAATATGTTTTAAAAGTCATAAATATAATGACAGTTTCCAAAGTTTTAAAATTAGCTTATGTTCCTCTCTTCACAAATAATTAAGAAAAAACTATATGCACATAGTTTTGTACAAGTTTATATTATTTGGACATTTTCCAGGTACAGTTTTTCATTTGTACTGATAGTCTGCCTGGCATTAAAATACACTTTGAACAGCAAATTTTCACAGGCCATTGGTAATTAAACAGGAATCATTCCTTGTGATACGAGACTCTGAATGTGTTTAAGATGCAAGGGAAAGCGTTTAATTAACTCCTTATGAATTTATGATGTGACAAGATATTGTCTGTTGCTTTTTCGCAGGAGACCTCCCAGAGCCATGAGAGGCCCACTCGCGCTATTAGTTACCTTTCAGTGTCAGCAGAGCTACTAGAGAATTGAATAGAACCCACCATATCATGCTGCACATAAGAACAACTGCATAAAAAATTAATCACTCTAGCTCTACATGTGAAATGTTACAAAACAGGAAGTCAAAGACTAAGGGAAAAAAACACCACCACAGGGTGCCCTACATTAGCATCAACAAACCACTCTTAATGACCAAAGCAAAATGTGGTGGCCCAAGACTCACATGCTTATAATTTTCAAACTTTGGTCATGGTTAAATAATGACCTAGCCATGGTGGGATGCCCTGATATAAAAGCAAAATGCTCTGTCCTAATGGGGAAAGGAAAACAGCCCTAGTGCCAATATGACAGTTGAAAGAATTCATCAAAAACAAACTGAAATGCCAAATACAGCATAGTCTGTTATGTGTGCTATTCTTCTTCTAATGAAATAATCATGTTAATATTTCCATTTTAAACCAATATATCTGAAACAATCCATACAAAAATCAAAAGGATTGTTATTGTCCCCAATTACAGTTGAGTAAATTTACAGTTGTGGGAATTTTGGGATTGAACCCAGGTTTCTCCAAGTCTAAGCTATCAGTTTCTAGAACACTTAGCTATATCTTTTTTTCTTCATCATGAAAGTTTAATATCATTTTGGCCTTATAAAAATTATGATTTCTTTAAATGAATATTATTACAAAGAGTGTTCAGAAGCACTTCTGAAAGAATGAGTAGTGAAATTATATTTTATTATTATTATTATACATGAACAGTGTGAAGAAGAAAATAAAGAATACAGATTTTTAATTAAACCAACCCAAAAACCAAATGTTATCAAATTATTCTAAGTCTGTTTTTACAGTACCTATTTTTATGCTCAATGCTCATTCATAAAATCTTGCTCAGGTGAATCTGTTACTATAAAGAAGAAAAACAGGAAAATTTTTGAGATGATAATCAATCTCGAAAAATATATTGAAGATATACCTGTTCAGAGTTGCCATCCTAAACTCTGGATGAATTTTCAAAGGCCATCGAAGAGTAAATAAATTAGTTAATATAAATAGTACCATATGTGTAAAGATGTATTTACAGACACATTTATGTACCCAATATGAATTGAAGTTGGAATGATAAGAGACAGTGGGGAGATGACAAGAAGGGATGTTACTCAGGGTGTGTAAGAATCCTGCTGGTGACTGACAGTTGACTTGTTTTGGCAAGGCTTAATGGAACAAAGAAGGAAAGTTCCTTTGGGTCACAAAACTATCAAACTTAAACCTCCCTTATTGGAGTTGAGTTGCTTCTTTTCTGAGACTACAGGGCTGCTAGACTATTGACTCAACCTACCTAGATCCTAAAAAAAGATATCCTTAGCTAAACGCTTCACTTTATTTAAGTTGAAGGTTATGTTTGGAGGAATTGAAGCAAATATTGTTTTACTTAATGGGAATTTTAAAAAGAGACCAATAGTTCTACAAATTCACAGAGAGTATTTCATTGCCCACGGCATATGTACTGGTTTAATAACAATAAAACCACCTACACTTATTAGGTATTTGCTACTTGAAAAGCACTGTCCTAAAAGTTTTATATGAATTAACTTATTTGAATACTAGTATTTTTTTTTTTCATAGAAAAGTTTAAATGACCTGCCCAAGGTCAGGCAAACAAATATTAGCAGTAAACAGAATTCAGGCAGCCATCTGCCTTTAGTTTGCACTTTCAACCACTCCACTATAGAATCTTCTCTAGGGATTTCTTTTATATTTAGTTGTGCTTCTTTCTCTCAAGTTCCTTAACTCTCTGTATAGATGGCAGAGTGATAATTAATAAATATATACTGGTATTTTTTTAAATATAAAATAGTCTTTAGTAATTTATGTTGGCAAAAACTAAGGCTTGTGTAGGAGAAGCAGGGCTTCTAAATAAGATTAAAAAATTAGGGTGAAATTAGAAAATATAGACCTGAAATCATAATTGATGAAACAAACAGCAAATTCAATCTACATTAAAGTAAATTTATTTTGAAAAGTAATTGTTTAGATACCAATTCAAAGTTGAGGAGATGGCTCCAAGAGGAGAAAAAAAGTGCTCCTGTGATGAGGCCAAATAATTCATTAGTAATGATATATATATATATATATATATATATATATATATATAGATAGATATATAGATAGATAGATATAGATATATAGATATATAGTAATTTATAATTGATGGAAGATTCTGTCCTGACTGGGTGTGACACTATGAAGTTGGAGAATGCTATTTTTCAAGGAGAACAACTAAGATTCCCTAAATATATTTTTGCACAAAGAGTGATTTTTATATTTGGAAACAATGCCAAGCTGTTTTAAAGAAAAGAAAATCTGTATTAGGGCTTCAGGAATGAAAAGCTCAACTGATATTTGTTTGTATTTTAAAATGTGGAAAGTTTGCATTGAAATTTGATACTTGCTTTCCACACTGGTATCAAAATGTACTTTATATGGCATTAAATATAATTGTGGACCATATAAAATTTTATTCAACCAAGTTGATTTATAAAAAATGGCCATTTTCAGAGGTTGCAGTGAGCCAAGATCATGCCACTGCACTGCAGCCCGGGTGACAGAGTGAGACTCCATCTCAAGAAAGAAAAAGGCCATTTATATATTTCAACTTAATATAAGTCTCATGATTCTTGTCAGATCAAGTAATAGAGACACATATTAACATTGAAGTTAAATTAAAATTAGACTGCCTTTCGTTTGTTTTTTTTATTATTTCTTAATAATCTAAGTCTTAAAAAATGAGTAATACTTCAACCATGTGGTTGTACCCTTATCATGCTAAATTTATTTTAGCTGTTGTCACCAATAAGCTGTGTTCATAATGATTCAAGCACCACAGAAATGTATTTCTTGCTTACAAAGCATGCAGTGAAGTTGTTCCTGGTGTGCGGGCAGCTTTTCATCACTGAAATGCCCATGAATCCAGGCAACTTCGTCTTCGATTCTGCTGCTACCAAGGCCTCCTCATCATTTGGCAGCCTCTCACCAGAAAAGATTATTGCATAGCATGCTACTCAATAGCATTGGCTTGGAAGGAATCCATCTCAGAGCTGTTCAGTTTCCATTGATGAGAACGAGGTACAAAGCCACATCCAAAAGTAAAGAAGCTGGGAAATACAATCTGGAAGAATGCCTTGAAAGAGAAAATAGTCCCTGGAGGGTAGCTAGGAAAATCTGCCACATGACCACGTAGAAAAATTAGACATTTGATCTACAATGTGGCATATCTTTTTTAAAGCATTACTAAAAGTAAATAAATAGTTTTCACTGAGAATTATTGGAAGTTCCATGCTCACATTGTCATTTGTATTTCATTAATCTATCGTTTTAACTCAGTAAGTAAATTTGTTCTATCTTCAAGACCATGTACAAGAAATAATTATTACCACTGTGTTTTGCGAATGAATTTCAATGGCCAATTTGTGACATGTAAACTTTGTTTAAGTAACATGTAAATATAAGATAAATACCTTACCATTTTATAAAGAGAGTGAACTTAAGGACAGGTAACTAAGTAAGGTAACACTTCTAAGTATTTTTTCTTGTTTATAATAATCATTTCATAATAAACAGATACAAATTTTAAATGGAATGTATAACATGTGGCAACACTTGTCAATCTTCAGGGCAAATTAAGAACAACAGATGATAAAAACTCAGTCATAAAACAAAAACCCAGAAGGGTTTAACAGAAAGTAATCGTATACATATAACTAATATATTTAAATCAAAAAATAATTTTAGTCCTCACTCCGATTTCTACCTGTACTGAGTGCAATAACTGCACCCTTATTTTACGTGTAAGCACACAAGTACACCAACATTTCTCAAATCTTTTTAATATTCTCATTTTCCATTTTCCACGCTCTTCACTTGATCAAAACTCTAGACAACATTCATCTCATAAAAACAAGTTGCTGCAAGTTATACATATATTTAAGAATATATATTTGTATATGCATATATAACATATATATTATATATATCACATTTTATATATAGCATATATAATATATGTTATATATTATAAATTATATATATAGCATATATAATATGTATGTTAAATATATTATATAATATGTATGTTATATATATTTTATATATAGATATATACTTATATGTATATTTATATATAGAGAGATATTTATATATAGATATATATAGAAAATATATATATTATATATCTATATATAGATATATATAGAAAATATATATATTATATATCTATATATAGATATACATAGAAATATATATATTATATATCTATATATAGATATATATAGAAAATATATATATTATATATCTATATATAGATATATATAGAAAATATATATATTATATATCCATATATCTATATATAGATATATAGAAAATATATATATTATATATAATTATTATATATAATAATATATATTATTATATAATATATATTATATATTATACAATAAATAATATATATAATATTATTATATATATAATTATATTATATATTATTATATTATATTATTATTTATACTTATAAGAATTATATTATAAGAATTATTATAAGAATTATATATTATAATTATATTATAATAATTATTATAATAATTATATATTATAATTCTTATAATAATTATTATAATAATTATATATTATAAGTATATTATACATAATATTATATATAATAATATAATTATATATAATATTATGTATAATATAATTATATTACATTATATTATATATATTATATATAATATTATATATAATGTGTTATATATACATATATTATTATATATGTATATATTATATTATATTTATATATATATTATACATATTATATGTTATATACATGTTAATACATATACAATATTATATACATATTATTATATAATTATTATATATAATTATATATTATAATTATATAATATTATATATTGTATATATTATTATATATAATATATGATATATAATATATATGTTATATATATATATATCTCCTTCCTTTCTGTCCTAGTACTTGTGCTTTTGTTTCTTGCTGCTTTTTTCTTTTGCTTTGAACTAGAACCAGCTGTTTTTACTTCTTGTGGTTAAATTATTTCTTCTCCTTTCACCCACTCTCTCATTTTCAGCATTCAACGTAGATGAACAGGTAGCAAAAGATGTGGTTTCCATTTACACATGTTCATCTCGCAAGAAGTGACACAGCAAGTAACAGATGCTATAACTTAAGTGTTTTGTATCCTGATACGTCAATACTTATCTTTCTCTGTGTCTCTTCTGGGAGAGGGAATGACAACCAGGGAAGCGAATAGTTAAAAGCAAAGAAAGGAAATTACAGAATTTGTAAAAAGGCATAGGTAATTCACAAATTATATTCTAACTTGTAAGTGTTTTGAAGACAGAGCTGCAAGTTTCGTCAACGTGCCCCCTGGGTCGAGTATACCATTACTTAGAAGGCATATAATATGTCTATATTAAATAAATGAATGGTCTTATTTTGCATAATTAGTATTTAAGTGATAATGGGGTATTGAAAAGGAATTATCTCATATATGTATTTTATCTTCTTCATTTTTTATCAGATAATTTTATTCCAAAATATATATGACACTGTAAAAGATAATATGTAAACATTTATTATATTTTTTACCTTTTTGAAATTATTATCATAAATATTTTAGATCCTCTAAGTAAGTGACTATTGTGAATACATTTGACTTAGTTGGAATATACAGAAATCATTTTGCAAGAAGGTTCTACTTTAGGGAAGCACTTCTTAACAAAGTGTTTTATTTTTATTTTTCTTTTCTTTTTTTTTTTTTGAGACAGAGTCTTGCTCTGTCACCCAGGCTGGAGTGCAGTGTCATCATCTCGGCTCACTGCAACCTCTGTCTCCCACTTTCAATCGAATCTCCTGCCTCAGCCTCCCAAGTAACTGGGACTACAGGCGTGCGCCACCACACCAAGCTAATTTTTGTATTTTTAGTAGAGACGAGTTTTCCCCATGTTGGCCAGGCTGGCCTCAAACTCCTGACCTCAGGTGATCCACCTGCCTTGGCCTCTCAAAGTGCTGGGATTACAGGCGTGAGCCACTGCGCCCAGCCCCTGATTCTTACAACAAATTGTTTTCTTAATTGAGTAATATTTTTCTACAAATGAATCAATTAGTCTAGCCATTGTGCATGTTTTGGGAAAAAGAAAAATATATTTTTAAGAGTTTAAATAATTACAGTTAAAGATTCGCAAACTAGAGTTTAAGCACAAAGAAGTCATTCAGGACGTTAAGTCATTGATCTTTAGAAAGAGGAACCAAACTTGCTTGTCCATATGGAAGTGTGTGTGTGTGTGTGTGTGTGTGTGTGTGTGTGCATATTTTATTCAATTACTATCTTAAAGAATTTCATTTGCTCATTGTCCCATTATGATAGGCATTCTGCCATACCCTAGTCCTGCATTCAACCTTCTCCAGATGTGTATAGCGCTCTTTATCACAGTGAGAAGTCTCCATAGATGTATGAAAATATATGAGAAGTAGTGTTATGTAAATATTTTCATTACGAACTGTTGTCAGTTGCACAAATCTATCTCCTGTTTCTTACCATTGGAAAGAATTTCATTCTCTTTATCATAGTCTTCACCAATCTCTATCAATAATGGAATTAAGAGGTACTTTCTCCAGAAAGTGTAATCCCATATTATAATGAAATGATCATATAAAATGTGTGTATTTATATATATATATGAATGTAATGTACATATACATGTACACATACGTGTATACGAATATAAATACATTCTCAACATTTAATTTCTTATTCCTTTTTCACTTCTAGTTCAAGGTTTTTGAAATGTTTTAATATTCTGTTTTTTTCTTCCCCAAGCTCTTCAAATTAGTCCAAATTATCTCACATATAAATAACATTCACCTTGTGAAAAAAGGGTACTGGAGGATATATATTATATTGTTAAGATCAATTCTTTCCCTGTTCCCCTAGCACTTTTTTTGTTATTTGGTTTTACTATTCATCTTAACAAAAGACAGTCTGCTAGTGGAAAGAGTCTTCCCATTTTAATCGAAATTAATTTCACCTGAAGATAAATCTTTTTTTCACTGCAAATTGATAAACTGTCAGAATTTTTTTTTTAGTGGAATGAATGAACTAACTATATCAGATGCACAATGCATTTATTCCTGCCTCAGCAGACTGGGATTTTGCTTTCTTTTCTATTTCTCTGAATGAAATGTAGATAAGAATGGCTGTAATAGAGCCTGGGCAAAAAATCAAAGTGGTTGCCAAAACACATGTCTGTCCAACGCACAAGGGAGATGATAGTCTTTATCTTGAAACTCCCAAAATTACCAGTGTTTTATTACAATCGCCTTTCATCCTTATTCAATTATAATTGCATATTTTAAAAAATAATGAACTGTATACATATTGCCCAGCAATTATTCTTATTTTACATGGTTCTTAGCCCTAATTTGATATATTCAAAGAATGGTTGTAAGTTTTGTTTGCATTGGCTTTGTCTTGCATTCTTTTATAAAATAAATTAAACAGTGCATCTTCATAGCTTGAGTTACCTATTTTCCAAAAGCAATCTCTCCAGTCAATGATAGTCTTGGAAGGAGATTTACACTATTTGGCTAGGCTATGCAATTTTTTTTCTCTGCTACCAATTGAGG